>NC_000004.12:89830471-90133502 GCF_000001405.40 Homo sapiens
TATGTTAATTACCCTAATTTGATTATCACACATTGTATACATGTATGGAAATATAATTCTGGATCCCACAATTATATACAATTATTACATATTCACTAAAAATAAAAGAAAAATTAAAAATAGAGTAGCATATGACCCAGCAATCCCTCTTCTGGGTGTAGATCCACAAGAAAAGATTTCAGCATATCTGTTTCCAAGGGCCCCAACACAGTGGCTCTTGCTTGGAATCCCAGTGCTTTGGGAGGCTGAGGCAGGAAGATCACTTATAACTATATAAGGAATTTTAAAAACACTAAAACTAATATTTATTTATTTAGCAAACCAGAATTTAAAACATTAGAAATTAAAGTGTTTTATTTCTTTGTAAAAAACTTATCAAGAGTAATGTAAATAGTGTTTGTCTTCTTCTCATTGTATAACTTCCTATACGGAGTGGACATGTTTTTTATATTTTACAGAATTGTCATACTCTATTCTAAATTTGAATTAGGAGTTTGAGACCAGTCTGGGCAACAGAGTGAGATGCTATATCTACAAAAAATATTAAAAATTAGCCAGGCATGGTAATGTATGCCTGTAGTCTCAGCTACTTGGGAGGCCAAGGCAGGAGGATCTCTTGAGCCCAGAAGTTTGAGGTTACAGTGAGCTATGATAACACCACTCCATTGCAGCCTGGGTGACAGCAAGACCCTGTCTCCAAAAAAGAAAAAAAGAAAAACATAATAGCCACAACTAAAGTGTCTACTGATAGATAGGTAGATAAAAAGATTGTGGTACATAGATACAATGGAATATCAGTCAGCCCTAAAAAAACAAGATCCTACCATTTACAACATGGATGAACCCAGACAAAATTATGCTAAGTGAAATAAGCCAAACACAGAAAGAAAAATATTACATTATCTCACATATATGTGGAAGCTTGAAACAAAATTCAAATATACAGAGACTACGTAAAAAACAGGGTTAATAGGGGTGGAAAAGTAGGTAGAAAATAGGGACATATAGGCCATAGGATCCAAGCAAGTAGCAGATGTGTAAGATGAAAAAGTGTACAGATCTAATGTATGAGGACTGTAGGTGATAAAATTGTACTATATTTGAGATTCATGATAAATAAGTGGATTTTAGCTGCCCTTGCCACAAAAACAACAAAAAAGGTAACTATGAGAGATTATGAATATATTAATTTGCTTCAATATAGTAATTTTTTAGTGTCTAATGTATCTGATAGCATCATGTTGCATACCCTAAATATACACAATTAAATTTATTTTTAAAAAAGAATGCCACTAGGCCGGGTGCAATGGCTCACGCCTGTAATCCCAGCATTTTGGGAGGCCGAGGTCGGGGATGATGAGATCAGGAGTTCGAGACCATCCTGGCTAACATGGTGAAACCCCATCTCTACTAAAAATACAAAAATTAGCCGGGCATGGTGGTGCATGCCTGTAATTTCAGCTACTCAGGAGGCTGAGTCAGGAGAATAACTTGAACCCAGGAGGCGGAGGTTGCAGTGAGCCGAGATCACACCACTGCACTTCAGCCTGGAGTGAAATGACAGATTGAGACCCTATCTCAGAAAAAAAGAAAAAAAAAAGAATGCCACTAAACCACACCATTAGAACTTATAATTAATTATTTTTTATAAATATCTTATGCAACATATTTTATATTTTTGTAGTGCAACCCCAAAGAGATAGGTATATAACTTAAAAAAACGAGATAAATGAGAGTCCTCATAAGGTTACCATGTATCAAACCAATCAGTTGTTCTTTGAGGTCATAATTATTTACTAATAATCTGTAATTGATGGTTAGCCTTTAATTTATGAGTAATCTGTAATTGATAACGTACACCTACAAAATAGGTGCCAAGTGGTTATGTGACTAGCAAGGTATAAATGCTGTAGGGACACCAGAGCTGATGGCTTCCCTGAGCGGAGGTGTCCCACACACACCCTATCTTGTCTTCCCAACCTCAAAAGAGCACAGAGTGGAGAAGAAGGTCAGAAGTAATACCTGAGAGTTTTGAGAACTCAGTTATCCCTGTTGTGCATGTTATGTTGACTTTGTCAGCTTAGTGAGGTGAAGCACATTTTGACTTGAGAATTTGCTATCAATTTCACTGATGGCCACTGCTGCTTATTGAGCAGAGTGGCATTGGAAGACACTCAAAGATCATCATTTTCTTGTATTTATTGCATTTATATTACTGAGCATTATATAAAGATAATTAAATCTTTCTGCTTTTGGATTTAGATCTAATTAATTTCTGAGTCATTTGAAGAAATTTTTGTCTATTAAATTGAAGTATGTTGATTGAAAATTGGTGTACGCAGATAACAAAAATGGAGGGAACAAAACCCATAAAAATAACACTGATCATTAAGGTAGTTCTTCAATGAGTTAAAAAGTAGTTGTTAAAAGTATATTCTTATAAAGGAATGAGATTACTTTTCTTATGAGGCTTCTACCAAACATCTTCAGCCATAAGTGAAATTATAAAATGGTCTTTGGTCGCCTCCAATCTTTCAAACTAGTTATGTAATGAAGGATAAAAGAATAAATGGAAAACGTGTTGGCAAAGTAATTATTCCGTTGGAGAGTTTATTTGATAATAATAACCATGGTTCCTATATATAAAAGTGTGCTCAATTATTCATATGTCCTGTCTTATTATGACATTCCCACAAAAACTGCAAGGTAGTTGCAGTTTTCTAAATCATATTTTTTACTAATCAGGGAAGTGATGCTCAGAGATGTTAAGTACGCTTCCCCAAGACCCTAAAGGTGATAAGTGATGTAGTCTCAACTAAAACTTTGGTTTGTGTGATTAGTGCATGTTCTTTCCACTCTATCAGTAGTCAGCAAGCTACAACATACAAGACAATTCCAGCCCACCACCTGTTTTGATAAATGAAGTTTTATTGGGACACAGCCACACTAGTTATTGTTTATGACTACCTTCACACTTCAACAGCAGAATTGAGACATAGATTTTTTTTTCTTTTTTTTAGACAGGGTATCACTCTGCCACCCAGGCTGGAGTGCAGTGGCTCGATCTCAGCTCACTGCAACCTCTGCAGTGAGCTGTATGGCTCAAGCCATCCTCCTACCTCAGCCTCCTGGGTAGCTGGCAATACACATGCATGCTACCATACCCGGCTAATTTTTGCGTTGTTTGTAGACACAGGGTTTCACCATGTGGCCCAGGCTGGTCTCAAACCCCTGGGCTCAAGTGATCCACCAGCCTCGGGCTCTCAAAGTGCTGGGATTAAAGACCTGAGCCACGGCACCTGGCCAAGACATAGATCTCATGGCTTAAAATACGTGCTATCTGATTCCTTACCCAAAATTTTGCCAATCCCTGGACTATACTATTGTGTCTTCACATGGTCATTTTTTATCTTAAATTCTGTGTGTAAGTTCAACTCTCAATTAGAACTCAGAATGTAACCAATAAAAAATTTATAGAATGTGCTATGTGTTAAATGCCATGAGAGACATTGAAAATGATTTCAATGAACAGTTAAAAGGTAACTAAGTCAAAGAAACTTGTGCTTGCAGAACTTGGAAATCTGAGGACAAACGGAAAGATATTGATAAACTGCATGTCACTGATTCAGTATTCCAAATTCCATCTAAAAAGGTATAATTCACACTTCATAAAATATTTAAAATTAACTCATCAATTTTTTCCTCTTGTAACACCCTATTTCAATGACTTTCTGAAAATATGTTTTAAGGTAGAAAAAAAGTAATTTAATTGAAGATTTGTGGGAAGATTAAGTCAACATAAGAAAAGTCTAAATAATGAGGCAGTGGCACATGCCTATAATCCTGGCTACTCAGGAGGCTGAGGTGGGGGCATGACTTGAGCCCAGGAATTCAAGGATGCAGTGAGCTATGATAGCATCACTGCAGTCCAGCCTGGGCGACAGAGCAAGGCCCTGACTCTAAAAACTGAAAATAAAAAACTGAAAAAAAAATGTGTTGTGAACTTTGATGAGATGCATTCATATAAATCATCCCAAGTATAAAATTTCCCCCACTGATCTATGTTGAAGAGATAGTGTAGCTTTCTTTCACTTTGCAGACATAGACGGAGCACATGTTTCAGCTAGGCAACTCAATGTGGTCATCCTCCACCTGACTGTTCATCCTGTGACTCTTACTGCTATAGTTGCCACCAGAGAATGTGAAAAAGCTCAGAGGAGAAAGAAGAGAGGAAGAATGGGCAATGTGTCTGTGTTGAGTGTGTGTGTCTATGCCTGTGGATGAGAGTGTGTGTCTATTCTTTTCCAAGGAATTCAAAGTGGTTTGTAAAATAACACTCAATTGAATACAGTTCAAGTTACAGAAAAGAGAGTCAGAGTTTGGGTGTATACCCCAAGGTGGAACTTTAGGAACAAGTAGGTAATAAGCATCAATTTCTTTATTCTTTTAGTATGTGTGTCATTTGATGGATGAACTATACAAATGTTTCTGAGAGATTAGTAGCAGCCCTCAAGCACTTTTCTCTGTCCTCAGTGTTCACAGAGACCAAATGATCACATGAAGTAACTCTATCAAAGACTAATCTGTTCTTTCCATTTTAGGGCCACAAATAGGTCTCTTTATACACATCACAGGGGCATATCAAAGTCATATTTTAAAAATCAGAATGGATTAAAATTGACAAACATTTTTCATGATGGTAAAAGAAATCACAGATCCATCAATGATTTTGATTCTTAAGAATATTCTTGATTATTTTTTAAAAGACTATGAGTTTTTAAAACTGTTCTCTGAAATAGAATTATGTAGGTACAGAAACATTCATTTTTAAAAAGTCATAAATATTAGGGCAAAATTAAAAATCTGGAAAAGCAAACAGTCGCATTTTTTACTATTAGCTCAAATACACACGTTCACATTCACCTACCTACACATACCTCTGACTCAGTCCACCTTTTTGACAAGCAATGATGCAAAAATGAATCAAGAGAGAGAACTACCAGCATTTAGAGTATTGATTATCCTAACCCATCACTCATGAACAAGCACCAAACTGACATTTGGGGTTTACCTACCTACATAGAGAACACCCTCTTTTGTCTTTCCTGCTGCTTCTGCCACACCCTGTTTGGTTTTCTCAGCAGCAGCCACAACTCCCTCCTTGGCCTTTGAAAGTCCTTTCATGAATACATCCATGGCTAATGAATTCCTTTACACCACACTGGAAAACATAAAATACACTTTGAATGAGAACTTTCGGGGAAAAATAAACAAAAAACACTGAAAAATCATGAGAAACCCTCCAAAGTGTGAGACTCTTTTAAGTGTACACTCATTTAACCATTGGACAAAGCAGACATTTTTAGCTCTGGCATTAAAAATTTAGCATCTCCCATCCATCTTGGCTAGTAAAAGTCTAGCCACCTAACCACGGATTAGGATGAATCCTCTGAGTTGTTATTACTGCATTTCAGAAGTGGAGTTGCATGAAAAGATTAACCCCTTTTTTAAATTCCCGGGGTCTAAAGGGTAACAGTATGAGTTAGAAGCATGGAAGCTGGAGGCTTAGGGTCAGGGGTATCCTTAACATGAATCCCAGAAGAAGGCTAACAGGTTGATGGTGGAAAGGCGTAGGCAACAGAACTAACTGCTCACTCGGGGTGTGGTTCAAACTCAGGCAAACAGCAGGCCCAAGTGTGATGGTTCTAATCCATCCAACATCCACCCCCGCCCTCAGCTATCTACCCTGAGCAGGCGCCGCTCACACTCGCGGGCCGTCTCCAACCCCGCGCCAGCCACCCGAGGGGGCGTTCTCAGCCTCCACCCTAGCGGACCCCGCGCCAGCACTTGTTAACCCGTTACCACCTGTTGACTTGGCCTCCTTGCACTTCCATTTCATTATTTGCCAAACGCAGCTTGCTTACTTTACAGAGAAAAACCAAGAGAGCGGGCAGACAGATTTTATGTGAGAGAAAAGTTGGATGCTCACGCTCCATGGAGCATCCTCGCGTTTCCCGGGGAAAAGCGGATCCCGGAGAAGCAGCCTAATCTCTCAGCCCTTGTGGAGAAGGGAATATCAGAAGCAGGACGAAAGCCAGGTCAAGTCTCTTTCCTTAGGCTCCCCAAAGGGACAAGTACTCACCTCCCAGAGACCTGGCCCAGCGGGTCCTCATGGCAGCACCACCCCCTCCCGGTGCCCACGACCATTCGTCTCCCATCCGGCGTTCTCCAGGATTTCCAAAGACGCCCGTTTAGATCCACAGGTACTTACCTGAGTCCCTCTGCTTCTCCACAACTCCGACTCCTCCCCGCCTCTCTCTTTTTTTAAAAAAAAAATTTAAACAATTCCCAAATAATATTTAATAGGAAAGAAGAAGGAAAAGGAGCGCACAGGAAGGGCGGAGGCGGCACCCGGGGGGGACTGTCCCCAGAGGAGGCCGCTGTGAGCCGGCGACGCGAGGCTGGGGGAGTGGGAGGCAAACCCGCTAACCTGTCGTCGAATGGCCACTCCCAGTTCTCCGCTCACGAGGGTGGAAAGGCAGAAGGCTTGAAGGCAAGGCGTGAGGGAGCGCCCAGGACGCTCTCGGAGGGGCCGGGCCGGGGTCTGCGCTGCAGCCCGCACGCACCTCACTTCCGCGTCGCGGCGCTCGGTCGCTCGCCCCCTCTCTTGGGCCCCTTCTGGTCGTCGCCGTCCTCCTCCTCCTAGTCCTCCTCCTTCTCCTTCTCCTCGGCTCTCCGCCCCCACCGCTGATTTGTCAGCGCTTCTGCCCGCCCCTCTCCCGGCGCTCGCTGCTTTCCCTGCAGCGTGCTCCTCGTCCCTATCTCGGATGGGGATGGGGCAGGGGGCGCGGGGTGAGCCATCAACTCCAGCCGCCTGCCTGGCCGCGCAAGGCGGGAAAGTGGGGGCGCTTTTGCGCCTCACGTTAAGTTTAGGGTCACGAGCACTCTTGTGGAGATCGGGAGCGGTTGGGCTAGGGATGATGCCTCTTCCTCTTTCCCCTTCCCCTCCCTTCTTGTCCCCGCCTTTCCTCTGGGTCCTCCCGGGGACCACCCCCTACCCCTCGTCAGAGTCGCCCTGGGAGAGCCGAGGGCCTGAGGGTCGACCACCAAGGGCAGAGCCTATCCCTTGGGGAGCTGCTGGAGGAGACAGGCAGCGCCGGGAGGTGGCTCACACCGCACCGCCGAGAGCGCTTTGCCCTCGCATCGCTGAAATTTAATCACGGTCACAGGTTACAACGTTAGGGGTCGCTTTAGTTCAAATATCTTCAAGGTTTTCGTTTGCTCTTAATCTAGGAAGAGCCGGAAAGGGTCCTGAGGGTGAAAGGGAGACTACTAAGGAAGAGTCACAGGTTGAGGAGGCAGGAGAAGGCTCAGCAAATCCTCTTTCCACGCCACTATCACCATTTTCCTTTCCACCAATCAGCGCCTGCCAGACGCTGATTTTCCCATCAGTGGAACAAGGAATAAATATTCCCCAGCCGTCTAAAACAAGCGGTCCTAAGGCTTTTCGCTCTAGAAATGGGACTTACTTTGCAGACCTCCCTTTATCTGGGAGACAAATCCAGCGTGATTTAGCCTACCGGACCATCATATCCAATTTCTTCTTCAGCCCCTTCTGAAAGGGAGATGCTACACACCACTCACCTTTCTGACTTCTGATTCTCGTTGCCCTCAGAATTGACACCCCCTTTTCTCTCCCCCCACCCACCACACGCACATGCACACAGACATACACACGCGAACTTCAAGACAATTTTTGCATCGCTTAACACATTTTCACCTCTTTCAGAGCTGGAAGACAGCTGTTCCTGGATCACACCAGAATGGAGAAGCAAGCTCCTCCCACTAGCAGAAAGCCTTTGCTTTCTGTGCCTGGATTCGGAAGATTAGTTAAGCACTGGAAGAGGAGGGGGGAAACAACAACTCGTTTTTGCTGTATGTTTTTTTTTTAATTGTTTTTATATTTATAGAAAGTTATGCTTTGTCTGATTCTTGCGCTAATTTGGGTTCTGAAATTTGAGTAAAATCAAATTTAAACATACAAAACAACTTTAAAACCACAAGGAACAGGAAGCAAATGATTATACATAAAAGACATATAGAAGATAATGCATATGTGTTCAGTGGAAAATAGAAAAGCATGAAAGTAAGATCACAAATATTTATTATTTAAACTCTTCCTTGAACTATTGGTCTGCCCTTTGGAAAAGCAGACTTTCCTTAATGCAGTAGCTCATATTAATATTTTTTGTTTGCTTAGGACCAGAGCAAGAAGGTTGGACTTGGGAGCTAGTTTGCTGTCTGGCTTTGAGACCTTGAACAAGTTTTGTTCTCCTTCTGTTTCCAGTTTTCTTTTTTGTAAATTAGGAGATTAACTCATGTGATCACTCTATTTTCAACTTTTTGTTATGGGAAATATTCAAACATATGCAAAAGTAGACAGAATAAAGGACTCTCATGTGAAGATCATCCAACTTTTACATTTTTTCAATGCATGGCTGATCATGTCTCATCCATAAGTCCACTCACTTTATCACTACCAATCCTCCCTCTTTTTTTTTTTTTTTTACCAAATTCAAGCTTTATATATATCTTTTCAGCTGTAAACATTCAGTATGCATCCACAAAATTTAAGGACTGTTTAAAAATAACCACAATATCATTAGATGATTCTTTAAAATTGCAGTGTAATTTACACCTAGGGAAATGCTCAGATGTTGTGTCCCTTTAAATCAGTTTTGAAAAAGCCATGCATTAGTGTAACCCACACTATTTTGAAGACACAGGACATTTTCATCATTCCAGACAGTTACCTTGTACCTTCATGTGCATATTCTAGAATGTCATAAAGATCTAATCACGTAGTATAAACTTTGTTTTATATTTGTCTGACTTCTTTTACTCAGTATAATATTTGTGAGGTTCGTTCATGTCGTTGCATGAATGGGTGTTTTGTTTTTTATTGCTTTTTGTTGTTTCTTTTTACTACTGTTAATAGTATAAGTTTTCCATTGTGCCTCTTTACAACTAGTATCTCAATAGAGTATTACAACAATTATTTAATATATTATTTCACATGACATATTTATAGTATAACCATGACCTCCTTGAGACCTAGTGCTTTAAGTCAAAGAGGTAAATAAAATGAGATATTTTAGGTCTCATTACAACAGACCAATGTGAGAGAATTATTTCTGGACAGTTGCACTTCTTATAAACGTTTAACATGATTCCAAACTTTTATTTGGTAATTTGTTAGTCCTTTGGCAAAGGACTAATGTACTATGTTATTTAGTCATAACAAGCAGATCAATTACATTTTATGTAACTTTTATAGACAGAGAAACTGAGCTCCAAGAGTTTTGGTGATATGCTGAGATCACCTAGCTATTTTAAGTGGCAGAGCTGAGACAATTTAGCAGAAACTGTTACAGAAGGCACAATTGTCTCCTGAATTAGCAGTTTGTGTCTGAAGCCTCACAGATTGGGTGTGGTAAAGAGTGAGAAGGAAAAAGGTAGAACCCAGCTGTGTTAGAAATAGCCTTCAAATTTGGATGTGACAATGGAAATCAAGAAGAACTTATGTTATTATGAAACAGTTCATTCATATTTAAAGTTTTGCCTTTTCTATATTGGTATTCCTCAATAGGGGGAGATGATTTCTTACTACCTACAAAAAAAGAAAACTGTAAACTAATTTCGTTGTCATTTTGAATTACAACTATATGTTTAACTCTTGTCACTCCTTAAAATGCCTTGAACACAGTAAACATCCAATGAACTTTTAATTACACATAATATTGATAGTGATATTGCATATGTTCTAGGTCTGTATTCTTAAGGAGGGAAAGCTGCTCAAGTACAAAGAAGGGAACTAGAAGTTAAAATAAAGTTTTTTTAATTTTTCTTTTCATTATTGATGGACAGCATGGTCTTCAGTAAATCTTTAGCCTCTCTGAATATAACGTTAAACTAATTGAATGGCTTGTACCTCATAAGAAATATGAAGTTATGAAGTAATAACATATTTGGAAGCATTACTAACATGCATATTCTGTTCATAACTACAATATTCATGTTTTGTTTTCTCTTTGCTAAGTGAAATATAAATATTTTACCAGACCATAATAGGATTCTTTTATCTGGATTTAATTCATTAATTTTGCTATAGATTAACATTCTATGAAATATATGCTTAACCTAGACTTTGTTTACCCCCATAGAACAACTGAATTTTTAGGTATGGTATGTGGTAAACTTGTGCTATAGCAAAGACAGCAGAGTAGAATGGCATGAAAATAAAGATGCTGCCCATTAACAATTGATTAAAGAGAGGACTGATTTAATGTGTTTAAGTTAAGAAAATACAACGTTTATTATCTTTGGATAATATTCCGTATTTGTTGTGAACACAAGGGGTGATGTAATGTTGATGCTGGAGCCACCTGCTTCTTATTCTCTATCTGCACCTTCCTCTCACCTTCTGTAAACCTGTGAGAGAGACGAGGTAGTGAGATTGCGATAGGCTTCTTGTGTAATTTCATAGTGGGTAGAGTAGAGAAAGCCTAATGCATACTGTTGGGAGATCATTATGTATGATTTTGGAAAGGGGGTGAGCATGAGATGGGGGAATAGGGTTACTCTGAAGAAATGGGAAGAGCAATCAAGGAGAAGCATAGTATTCAGATTCTCTAATTTGACCCCATGGCCAACTTCATATTGTTTCCACTAGATATCATTTTAAATATTCCTGTGGTTTCGTGGTCCTAAGAATATGAAGGCATGCAAGATTCCAAGATTAAAGATGTTAAAGCCAGATAGAAAAGATATTTAAATATTTCAAAATCTAACAAGTTCAAATGACTTTAGTTTTAGAAAGAAAAAAACACATTAATGAGCCCAAGAAATACACGCAACTCTGCAACTCTGGTGAGCATGATAGACTTCTAAGAGTAAATGTACTAGATACAACCTAAATTCAGGGACTTATTAAAGCTCTACTACTCATTACTAGTGACTCAGAGCAAGTATCTATAACCTCTCTAATCTCTAGTTTTCTCATTAAAAAATGGGCATGATATTTTACTTGTCTTGTTTGATTGTTGTAAGGAATGAATAATGTGGCTCATAGCAAAGAGCCAGGCAGAGTGGAAGCTCTCAGTACAAGTAGCTATTGTTATTATCTAGCCTCCATGTTTTGGGTGTCCTAGGACATGCTTTTTTTTTTTTTCCATTGCAGTAGATTTCCACCTGTTCCCATCCTCCACAGTCTCCCATCCCACCAGCAACACACGTGAGATATCTGATGCCTTCCCATCAATAACTCTCACTTAGTATGGGTAAGCAAAAAATTTCCAACCAGGGATGGAAGTTGTGGAGAGATAGAGTGGGAAAGCTCAAGGAGCATTGATAGGGATCATTAATTAAAAATCTACCAAACATCTCTTTCTCTCCCTAATGTGCGAGTTACAATAACATCACTCAAAGCAGTTTGCAGCCACAGCTTGAAGAAATACAGTAACAATGACAGAATTAACATTCACTATCTTTATTAACATTTTTACTTTCTTAAACCTTGTTTCTTTCAAAAGACACTGGCATAGTCCTGTATGAATTATGTGGATTTGCCAAGAGAAAAAAATAAAATGATACAACAAATGGTGTTCCAAGTTTGACAGACCCTTTGTGCCAGTGGCTCTGAAAGGCTTCAGAATGAATATCCAATTCAGAAATCAGTCCCTAATATTTCAGATTAGTGAAGAATCAACAGACTGAACAGCATTTGTATTCAGAAAGGAAGAAAATAAATGAATTTTTAAAATATCACGGGAACTTGTAATGTTTTGTGTATTGTTTTGAACTGAAGTTACAATACTGTTACAAACAGAGTATATACAGCAAATAAGTATGTTCCTTACAATATCCAAAATATCCAGGAATCTAATACGTTTTCCTTTCTAGATAATTTGAGAGTATAAAGTGACGTTTAAGAAACTTTTTAGGTCGGGCATGGTGGCTCACGCCTGTAATCTCAGCACTTTGGGAGGCTGAGGTGGGCAGATTACCTGAGGTCAGGAGTTAGAGACCAGCCTGGCCAAGATGGTAAAACCCCGTCTCTACTAAAAATACAAAAATCAGCTGGACGTGGTGGCAGGTGCCTGTAATCCCAGCTACTTGGGGGGCTGAGGCAGGAGAATTGCTTGTACCCAGGAGGTGGTTGTTGCACTGAGCCGAGATCGCACTACTGCGCTCCAGCCTGGGCGACAGAGCAAGACTCCATCTTGGGGGAAAAAGAAAAAAGAAAGAAAGAAACTTTTTAACACCATATAAAAAGCACATCACTAATGGTTTGAAAACTTGGTGTTCCATATAAAGCTGGAAATTTATGTAGTTAAGAAATTTAGAAAGCAAATTATTCAAAGAAGTTATCTCTTAATGGCTATTTGATAAACACTTTAGTATAAAAACATATCCATGTCAATAAATATGGATTTGTAACATCATCTTGGCTATAAAACGTTATACTGTATCATATATTTATTTAATTATCTATTTTTAATTTACTGTTACTTTTTATTTTCGTATACATCGGTTGAATTCAATTTTTCTTCTTTTTGTCTTCCAAGAATAAAACGCTTGTCTATATACCCAGTCTAATAATTCTTTATATATGTTAAATATTACTAATAAGTTAATCTTAAATCAACTTCTCTATAATAGACAATGATCCTTCACTAAGTCTTACTGATTCTTTTCTGAGTCCATTTCTATTTAAATTATCCTTAAATTTCGTCATTAAAATATTGAAGTTAAAGTTGTATGTGCAGGGTTGCTTTTTTTGGTCACAATAAAAAAGATTCCAAGTAATCAGATTAGCCACAAAGAGAAATTTTTGTTAGTAATGGCTATTAAACACTTGAGAGTTGAATAATAAAGTTACGAATTATTTTAATTATCAAAATTTAGAGTGCAGAAATATGCCTGTTTACATATGTAAAACTGATTCCTGCAGGACATCTAGCTAGATGTTTCACAGATATAAGCATACACATAACAAAGAAAAAACAGCATTCAAACATCTTCGTATAATGTAATCATCAAAAGGAAAAATTGATTTATATAAAAAAGTCACCAATATTACTCAAATATGTACAGCTCATTTGCATGTAAGAAAGTAGCATATACATTCTAGATCATTAAGATATAGACAGAATGGTATACACATGCACACTCACAATATTATGACATTATGTATACTAAAGAAAGCAGTAAAATTATTTGCCATGTCTTTTCAAATGTAAAAGAGACATGTGTTTAATGACTTTATCTCTGTGTAAGTGTCTGTGGCAACAATCAATTAAATGAGAATTCAATCTCCTTAATCATCTTGGATTATGCCCTTAACCTGTAGGGAGCTAAAATAACATCTCAAGGTAGATTAAAAGTCAAAGTGGATTTCAAACTGGACAGGACAATCTGACATGACACTTCCCAAATATAATCATCCTTTATTTTCTGTTATACAAGTAGTATATGCTCATTAAAGAAAAGTGATTAAATGCAGATAAGAAAAAGAAAAAAATCAGTATGCCTAGCAATAGGAGATAAACTTCTACTTTCCTACTAAAAATTACCTTTTCTAAAAGGTAATTTAAAAATATGTATCAAAATCCCTCAATATGCATCTTGACTCAGCAATTCCATTTCTAGAAAGATATCTTAAGAAAATATCATTTATCAAAGAAATAAATTTTATGCCATCTTATAAAATTTTAAGAACTGTATTCCTGCATATCCCATAAAAAGTTTTTACCAATCCAATTGTCCAAGTTAAATTTTTGGCTGGTTACACTCCCTCTTTTTGTGATATGTCACACAACTGGTAAATGATGAGGCACTTTGACTCCATATTTCTTCTTAAGCAACACACAATACAATCTCAAGCCTCTGCAGTTGAACTTTTTCTCCACTTGTTCTCTCTCTTTAAGAAATGAAAGTTAACTTTAACCATCTCATAAATTTGTGAAAATGAATCGCGCTAATGCACGTAAATAACTACCATGATGGTGTGTGAAAGGGCTGCTCCCACTTAGCTTCTAAATCAAGTTTTAGGAAGAAAACAAGAAAGAAAATCATTTTGCTGCTCTTTTCCTAACTGGAACAAAAATACATATACCAAAATAATGCTCACAGAAGTAAAGGATATATTTATCTATGGACACAGAAGAGCTACTAATCGGATGAAAAGAAAGTGGGGTTACAAAAACTTTTCCAGTCAGGCAGAAATACACCAAAACAAAGTCAAGATAAAAAAAAAAACTACCTAGAGCAAAAGAGAATTGACCCAAGTGTGAAAATTTGAAACAAACTAGAAAAGCCAAAATTTAAGTCAGAGACAAAAATATTTGAAAACATTAAACATGCTCTTCCCTAAAACAATTCTCTTCGTTTCCATACCATAAAATATAGTTCTGTTAGAATAGCTTCAAATAAAAATCCATCAGATTATATCAGTACAGTCAGGTCCATCTTGGGAGTCATCAGTTGAAATAGTTGAAGAGCTTTCAACTCTGTTTTCATATGTACAATATTTGGTTAATAATCTTTTTATATAATGTAATTATAACAGCATGAATTTATGTAAAATACACTGTTTTTCTTCAGGGAGTTGAGAATCTTGACTGAGAATATTGCAAGTGTTCTCCTCTCTTTACTACACAGCTACAAAATGCTTCTTGTATTTGCAATAATGCAGAGAGACTTATCCAAAGATGAGTAGAGGCTCACGTCTTATATTGTCAGGGCCTGAAACCTGCCTAGCAGAATGGCAGAGAAGTAGCTTAGCAGGCCATGCCATGCGCTCTCTCCATTGTAGAGAGGGTCAGCATCTGAGAGACTGCTCTCCAAAGACTTATGTCTAGATAGAGTCACTTGTCCCCATCAAAGAAAAGAGCATGCTCTTCAGTTCTTACCTTGGAGTGAACCCTAATCTGACTGATATTTTTATAAGAAGAGCAGATTAGAACACTGACACACACACACAGAAGACAATATAAAGACACTGGAAGAAGACAGCCATCTGCAAGCCAAGGAGAGAGGCCTTAGAAGAAACCAACCCCGCTGATACATTGATCTCAGACTTCTAGCTTTCAGAATTGGTAGAAAATAAATTTCTGTTGTTTAACCACACAGTCTGTAGCATTTTGTTATGGCAATCCTAGCAAACTACTACATCAGGGTGATATTTATATTTGTATATAAAGCTGTATATAATTTGCATATAAAATTTATATATATAAATTCTCTTTTGCTCTAGGTAGAATCTTTCTTTATTTTGACCTTTGTTTTGGCATAGCTACATAATGAACATTATATACTGCTTTGTCCAGAAAGCCTAAAGTTTGTAGAAGCTACATGACTGGCCCAAGATTAACCAACTGGTACTATACCTATGGAAGACATGAAGACTTACATCACATATATATCACATAAATCATTATATCCTATATATATGTATGTGTATACACACATGAGATATCTGATGCCTTCCGTGTGTGTGTGTGTGTGTGTGTATATATATATATATAGAGAGAGAGAGAGAGAGAGAAAGAGAGAGAGAGAGAGAGAGATCATAGCTACTAATCCATCCTTTTGTCTACTCTATTGCAATCAAATATGCCAGGGAATAAAATACATAAAATTAGCACCATCATCTCCATTGTAAATGCTTGTTTCACACTCTGTGGGCTTCAGAAGGTGGAGAACAAAATCTGGACATAGAAAACATAAGCTGGCACTACAAATATTTTACAATAAATATGCACAACTAAAAATAAATTTCTGGAGTTGAATTTGAGGCTCTAAAAGCAGCCTCATCAATATCATATGGCTGTTATAATTTCAGCACTCACTCTTTAAAAAGGGTATTGAGGGGAGGTTAACTTCAAAAATAATTAGTGTGGTAAACAATGTTTAGGTCTGAGAATGTACAAAATTGGATTAAAATCAAATTATAAAGAATATGCTGTTGTATTTTACCACTCTTATTAGAACCAACTGGAAGAACAAAAGCATCCATTAACTCTTGAACTTCTTACCCTGTAGGACTTTCATTCTAAGCTGTCTAGAAAACTCAGTAGAAAATGTGGAAGGTTGATTGCTAAACAGGGCATAGACAATAAAGAATATTGCTATATTCTAAAGGATTGATCTTTTAAATGTATTTCTCTGGGCTTTGAAATTCTGATTGCAGACCGATGCGTTATTACATATTCAGTTTGAACTGATGGCTATTTGTTGAACAATTGAGGGCCACACATTTCTTTACATCTCCAGTGCCTGCCTTGTGTCCAGAGCAAGCATCCAGGAGATTCCCAAGAGATTCCTCACCTGCTGATCTTCAGATCATAGCACTCAGCCTCTCCTTTGATGTCATTTTTTCTTATTGCAGCAAATGGTCTCCTTACCCAAGGGATCCCTGTTAGGGCTAGGGGCCTGCTTTGGTCTGGACAGGACCTGTCCTTAGAGCTTAGCAATTTCTTTCAACGGCTTCCTAAATGCAGACTTCTTTCTACATGAAAAGACTGCTAACAGTTGATTTGAAATCTTATTGAATCATTCTAGTTCATCTGTTTGATATTTTAATGACAATAAAGTTGGTTTAGGCATTTTAATTATTTCCGTTTTCTTACCCAGAGTTTCCACTTTTACTGATGATATTATTTTTCCATTAAGGAACCAAATTTATCCAGGTGGTAGAATTATTTATTTTAGTAGAGTGAAGGAACTTACCAGAATGAGAAAAGACAGCTTTAAGGAATTCACTCATCTTTCTCTATTCCTTTTACCTGGTTGTTGGATTATTTATTTCCCAGACTCAGTTCAGAAACTGTTGCCAAAAGACAAAATTACAACTTATTTAAAGGTCTTAATTGGCTTTTATCTGTAATTCTAGAATCAGGCTACACTTCATTCTATATAATATAATGAGTTTTTTGATAAGCTGAGCAGAGGAGTTTGGTTTTATATACAGTAAAAGGCCAAGGAAAGCAGAAACAGAGAGCAAAAAGTAGATTTCTTATTTCAAAGGTTCTTTCCTTATAAAAGTTAAAGCAGAGGGGACTTCCTTATCATGCTAGCTAAAACTGGCTCCTCTAGGGATTTGGCTATTGTCTCTTACTCTCTTGATTTCTAGGAAGGTCAGACAAACAACTTAGTTTTGGCTTGATAATGTGGGACTGTAACATGAGTCACTATTTTTGTCTGGTCCCTTGGGCCTAGTGCAAGATCTCAGTCCAAAGCAATGGCTCCCATAAATTTTATTTCACACCATCAATCCTGGCAGAAACACTTTTCAATGACAGAATTATTGAACACTCTGTGAAAAAAATGAAAACTTGAGAGCAGCTGTCCAGTAGGGTGTGAATTCATGGACCCTTTGGGAAAAATTAGGCTACTCTTGTTACTACATTAGTTTTATACTATATTCTCCAAATTTCCTGTCCTTCCAGTTGTGATAGAGTGTGTTTTGTGTCCTGATATGTATACTCAGTGGATAAATTGTGATTCAAGAGGAACCTTAAAATAAATACAGTTTTATAGATGCTGAAATTGAATGCCAGGGCTGGGCATGTTGTCTCATGCCTGTAATCTCAGCACTTTGGAAGGCTGAGGTGGGAGGAATTCTTGGGCCTAGGAATTTGAGACCTGTCTGGGCAACAAAGGGAGATCCTGTATCTACAAAAAATTTAAAAATTAGCTGGGCTTGGTGGCATGCACCTGTAGTACCAGCTACTTGGGAGTCTGAGGGGGGAAGATCACTTGAACATGTGAGGTCGAGGCTGCAGTGAGTAGTGATCATGCCGCTGCACTCCAGGAGCTTGGGTGACAGCGCAAGGTTCTGTCTCAAAAACAAAAAAAAACGAACAAAATCACAAGGAATAAACATGATTATACAGGCAGTAAGGATTTTGACAACATGAAGGGACTCTGAATACAAAAACAAATATTTATGGTCCTAATCAAATCACTGGCACATTTTTCCATGGACATAGTAAACAGAGGAGATTAACATTGTACTGATTCAGGATATGGAATACTTCTGTTTTAATAAATAACAGCAGAATATTTGTACAGTAAATAATAATAATAAATTTATTAATCATTTTATAGGGTCCTAGAAAAGATGTATCTTATTGATGAATATTTAAGGTTTGATAGAAAGTAATAACTTCTGAGAATTAATTTCTGTTTTACAACTAGATGTCATAGTTGGATAATCAGTTGAAATGATGATGATAGTCGACTGTTCTCTGTATTTAAATAAAGACATTTAACATTGAAATGAAAATTATACTCAGATATTAGTTTGCTTTCCATAAACACCAGATACTCAGTTCTTTTTGATGGATTATCACAAAAACAACACATGTTAATAACTAAATAAGTGAATTTGCAGAACAAAACTGATAAAATAAGAGTTTTCTAAACTTACAAAATGTCAGTATGCTAGTTACAAAGCCATTGCTCTTTAAGTCTATTTTTTTCCCCTTTCTCTCTGGCACTGGGGCTAAGGTCTACAAATTATGTTCCTGTACCATCTGGCTTTCTATGATATTCTGCCAATTAATGACTTTAGAAGACAGTAAAAGGCGGGAGAAAAGGCGTTTGATCCTTCTTATTTGATAATTGTTACTGTTAGTGGC
Organism: Homo sapiens; assembly: GCF_000001405.40. Taxonomy (NCBI): domain Eukaryota; kingdom Metazoa; phylum Chordata; class Mammalia; order Primates; family Hominidae; genus Homo; species Homo sapiens. The sequence goes on from NC_000004.12 coordinate 89,849,176, forward strand.
ACCCGCACTCCAGCCATCTTCCTTTGTTCCAGTGACAGCAATTGGTTCCAGCCTTTAACTTCTTTCTACATGTCCAGAAACATTCTTATTGCTCTTGTGTTAATCTTTTCTAATGCTGCTGATAAAGACATAGCTGAGATAGGGCAATTTACAAAAGCAAGAAGTTTAATGGACTTACAGTTCCACATGGCTGGGGAGGCCACACAATCATGGTGGAAGGCAAGGAGGAGCATGTCATGGATGGCAACAGGCAAGAAGAGAGAGCTTGTGCAGGGAAACTCCCATTTTTAAAACCATCAGATCTCATGAAACTTATTCAATATCATGAGAGACAGCACAGGAAAGACCCACTCCCATGATTGAATTATCTCCCATCAGGTCCCTCCCACAACACGTGGGAATTATGGGAGATACAAGATAAAATTTGGGTGGGGACACAGCGACAAACCATATCATTCTACCCCTGGCCCCTCCCAAATCTCATGTCTTCACATTTCAAAACCAACCATGTTTTCTCAGTCCCCCAAAGTCTTAACTCATTTCAGCATTAATTCAAAAGTCCACAGTCTAAAGTATCATCTGAAATAAGGCAAGTCCCTTCCACCTATGATACCACCTATGATAAAATCAAAAGCAAGTTAGTTACTTCCTAGATACAATGGAGGTACAGGCATTGAGTAAATATAGCCATTCCAAATGGGACAAATTGGCCAAAACAAAGGAGCTACAGGCCCCATGCAAGTCTGAAATCCAGTGGGGCAGTCAAATCTTAAAGCTCCAAAATGATCTCCTTTGACTCCATGTCTCACATCTAGGTAACTCTGACACACAAGGTAGGTTCCCACAGTCTTGGGCAGCTTCGCCCCTGTGGCTTTGCAGGGTACAGCCTCCTTCCTGGCTGCTTTCATGGGCTGGCACTGAGTGTCTGCAGCTTTTCCAGGCACATGGTGCAAGCCGTCGGTGGACCTACCATTCTGGGTTCTGGAGGACAGTGGTCCTCTTCTCACAGTTCCACTAGGAGGTGCCCCAGTAGGGACTCTGTATGGGGCTCCCACCCCACATTTCTCTTCTGCACTGCCCTAGCAGAGGTTCTCCATGAGGGCCCCACCCCTGCAGAAAACTTCTGCCTGGGCATCCAGGCCTTTCCTTACATCCTCTGAAATCTTGGCAGAAGTTCCTAAACCTCAATCTTCCTGACTTCTGTGCACTTGCAATCTCAACACCATGTGGAAGCTGCCAAGGCTTGGGGCTTGCACCCTCTGAAGCCATGACCCAAGCTCTACATTGGCCTCTTTCAGCCATGGCTGGAGCAGCTGGGATGTAGGGCACTATGTCCCTAGCCTACAACAGCACAGGGACTCTGGGCCTGGCCGACAAAACCATTTTTCCCTCCTAGGCTTCCAGACCTATGATGGAAGGGACTGTTGTGAAGACCTCTGACATGTCCTGGAGACACTTTCCCCATTGTCTTGGGCATTAACATTCGGTTTCTTGTTACTTATGCAACTTTCTGCAGCCAGCTTGAATTTCTCAGAAAATGGGATTTTGTTTTCTATCACATTGTCAGGCTGCAAATTTTCTGAACTTTTATGATCTGCTTCCCTTTTAAAATTCAAAGCTTTTAACAGCACCCAAGTCACATCTTGAATGCCTTGCTGCTTAGGAGCTTCTTCTGCCAGATACCCTGAATTATCTCTCTCAAGTTCCCAGTTCCACAGATCTCGAGGGCGGGGCAAAATGCCACCAGTCTCTTTGATAAAATATAACAAGAGTTACCTTTGCTTCAGTTCCCAGCAAGTTCCTCATTTTCATCTGAGACCACCTCAGCCTGCACTTTATTGTCCACATTACTATCAGGATTTTGGGCAAAGCCATTCAACAAATCTCTACTAAATTCAAACTTTTCCACATTTTCCTGTCTTCTTCTGAGCCCTCCAAAGTGTTACAACCCTGGCCTGTTACCCAGTTCCAAAGTCATTTCCACATTTTGGGGTATCTTTTCAACAGTGCCTCACTCTCCTGGTACCAATATACTGTATTAGTCCATTTTCATGCTGCTGATAAAGACATACCTGAGACTGGGCAATTTACAAAAGAAAGAGGTTTAATGGATTTACAGTTCCACATGGCTGGGGAGGCCTCACAATCATGGCAGAAGGCAAGGAGGAGCAAGTCACGTCTTATGTGGATGGCAGCAGGCAAGGGGAGAGAGCTTTTGCAGGGAAACTCCCATTTTTAAAACAATCAGATATCATGAGACTTACTCTCTATCATGAGAGCAGCACAAGAAAGACCCGACCCCATGATTCAACTATCTCCCACCAGGTCCCTCCCACAACACGTGGGAACTATGGGAGCTACAAGATGAGATTTGGGTGGGGACACAGAGCCAAACCATATAAGCTCCCCTCAGGGATTCCGGGACCTCGAATGCAGCATCCTCTCCTCAGATCTCTGAGGCCCAACAATGTGGGACTCCTCCCCTGAGCATCTGAGTAACCAGCACCAGCCATCCATGCAGTGCACCTTCCTCATGCATCTGACTGAAGCTCCTCAAGGCTTCACCTCATGCCCCCTGAGGTGCCAGCACCTCACCTCAGAAGTATAAGTGCCAACTCTACAGAGGTATGGCTTTAAGCTTTTTGGTTTTAATAACCCCAACCTCTATCTTTCATTGCTCTTCTTTTATGGGAGATCCCTGCTTTCTGAATTTATTAATCTTTCTGTTACTCCATTATGTCCTTTGGCAGTCCTTCAGTACAGTTACAGAAATTCTTATATTAAGTTCTATCTTTGGAAAAACCCACTATTTTTTCCTGGTTTTTGAAAGACTTTATTGATATACTCAGTGTTTTGGATGTATTTGAATAAGACTATTCTGAATATATGACAGTAAAATTATAAAGCAGTTTACAAAAAGTTCCTTAAGACCATGATAAACAGGTTGAGTAAACAAAGATTTTAGATCAGTTTTCTTACTACCTACAATAATTAATAATATGCATATTAACTAATCAAACATGCAATAATATTTTCAGTATGTAATGTAAGAGAAAGTACATTTTAGTCTCTACCTCAATAACTAATTAAAAAATTTGGACTAAGCTGATCTGAACAATAGCAAAAAAAGTTTTAAAATTACTCAGTAAAAATTCTGCTTATACTTCTAGATGCATAGAATTCTGTTTTATTATTACACTCATAAAGTCTGCAAGCTAATACTCATACTGTCTAGTATAGCAAAGTCAATGAGCAAGGATACTTTGAAAACATCTTTTCTCCAAATCATAGATTTAAATGACTAAAGATGGTATCTTGCCTTTCCTCTGCCTATATGTAAAACAAACAAGAAAATGCACAAATGTTAAGAACCTAGCACCTCTCAAATTGAGTAAGAAAAGGGGTAATATTTTTTAGCACTAATTGTAGCAAGCAATATGTTTCTTGCCTCTTAGCATTTAACCCCCCACATTAACCTTTAAGGTAAGAATAATGAGTACCTCTCTCCCTCTTACTTGAAACATAAGGAAAGTGAGTCCTTAGGGAGCTTTAACTATAGGTCCAGGATTTGAACGCAGCTCTCCTGTTTCCAATGCCTATGTTTTTTCCTTTAATGCATTCTTAGCCCAGTTGGTGCTTAATACCATCATTACATGAAATAATGAGTCATATCTCCAGTTACCAATATGGTTCAGTTCTCTATCCAACTCTCTTTTCAAAATGCACCAACTTATCAGTTTGTTTATCCAAGGTGTATTTCTCATTTCCTTCCTTTCCTTTTTCCCCAGCTCCTTCTCCACTTCTATATTCTCTTCTTCCTTCATTTTTCAAATGTTTGCATTTAAAATCTGTGAAAAGTTGAAGTTGCTGTCCCATAATGCATATTATTTTTCAAATTCATGTAATATATAGCATTTATTGTATACGTGTGTGTACACGTTTCTGTAGTAAACTCATTGACCAGTAACAATTTATAACAACAGCCACAATTTTCATCACCTATATTAGTTTTTTGTTTTGTTTTGAGGCAGAATTTCACTCTTCTTGCCCAAGCTGGAGTGCAATGGTGCAATCTCGGCTCACCACAACCTCTGCCTCCCAGGTTCAAGCGATTCTCCTGCCTTAGTCTTCCTGAGTAGCTGGGATTATAGGCATGCACCACCACGCCCAGCTAATTTTGTATTTATAGTAGAAGACAGGGTTTCTCCATGTTGGTCAGGCTGGTCTCAAACTCCTGCCTTCAGGTGATCCGCCCACTTCGGCCTCCCAAAGTGCTGGGATTACAGGCATGAGCCACCTCGCCCAGCCCCTATATCAGTTTTTTAAATGACCAATCCCCCAGTGGTTCCCTTTATTTTTTAATTGGCATATAATATGAGTTACATCATTTTAATTAAGAATACAATTAAATTTCTGTTTTTTTGTTTGGACAAACATTTTGTTTAATATCAACTGTTGGGAAAGATTTTAACTCATATCCTTTTCAGAAACAGTCATAAATATTAATATGTAGATCTTATGTTTCTTTAAGCTTATTTTAGGAATTTGATAGAGCCATTATTGAATGTTCCAGTTATGTTACACATCCTTTGCTGTTCTTTGTTAAAGCAACAAATGATTCTTTATTATTTATTGACAAACCCTTGAACTTTTAAAAGTCTTGAACTATGTCTTGAGGTCTTTGAGATTTAAATTTTTTTAATATTGCAGCATTTTTATTTCACCCAATTCAACTTTCAAAGCTAGCAAGATCTTGAAAATCTCAAAATGGCAAGAGGAGAGCTGACATGCATTAGCACTCAGTGTTTACTTAAAATAAGAAATTCCCACAGGACCAAGTCCTAGACACTTTCTATTCATGGAATATGGTGAATTTAAAGGGATCAACAGTAAAATAATTGAATTTATAACGCTAGATTTAAAGGTAGATTTTGTTACCACAATAATAACCTTTCTTAATAAGCACAGAACATTCACATATCAGCAAAAGCTACTAGCAACTGATGAAATCTGAACGAAGTAAACTGAGGCCAAGGATGTTCTCATACCACGTACAGGCAACCAATGCATAAATTCATCTCTGTTTACTCTAAAAGGAGTGGAAAGGAGAAGATGTTGCCAGAGATATCATACAATTCTGGCCTAATGTGAGGGAGGAGAAAGTTTTGAATTAGTTTACCACCTTTTGGAGTAAATTTAATGATTGAATTTGTCAAAGTTATAATTTCTACTCAGATTAAGGGATGGGAAAGAGAAAGCAAACACAGTATGTGTCTTAGTTCACTTGTGTTGCTAGTAAAGAACACTGATAATTTATAAAGACAAAATATTTATTTGGCTCACAATTCTGATTTCGAAAAAAGTTTAAAATTGGCCATCTGCATCTGGTGAGTGTCTCAGGCTGCTTCCACTCATGGCAGAAGGTGAAGGGGAGCTGGAATGTGCAGAGATTGCATGGTGAGAAAGGAAGCAAGAGGGAGAGGGGAGAGAGGTACCAGGCCCAGCCCTTTTTAACAACCAGCTCTCTTGGTAACTAATAGAGTGAGAATTCGCTTACCATCACCATGCCTAAGGAGGGGATTAATCTATTCATGAGGGATCTGCCCCCATTACCCAAACACCTTCCATGAAGCCCCATGTTCAACATTGGGGATCAAATTTCAACGTGAAGTTTGGAGAGGTCAAATATCCTAATGATAGCAGTATGGCTAAAATAATAAAGAAAATTGAAAAGCTTCACAGTTATACTCATTCTAGGTGAGGCTGGTCAATGAAGTAGCTACCATGGTTGATGGTCTGACTTGACCTTCTGAACTGCCAGACCTTGATTGAGACCTAGGTCTCATCCACGTGCATAGGCAGAGCTAAAACCTGAAAATTAGAAGAAATGACTTCAATCAACGTGGGATATAAATGAATACATTTTTACATATTATGCCTTGATTTTGGCAAAAATACTATTGAATTCAGATGCCTATATATTAATATAATTCTTATTCTGAAATAAACTTTGTTGACCTAGGGCAAGTGTCTTTTTCTTTAAGTACGCTTGTCACACTGCTACCAGGCTGACTTTTATGAATTTTTATACTGTTTCTCTCTTTCTCTTACATGACACTCTTTAGACACTCATCGTTGTTTACAAGGACTGGCCAATAATCTCCTCTGAGCTCTGACCTCTATGTAACCTGTCTAGGCTAATCCATGGCTCGTCTTATGTCCTACTGCAGTTCTACTGATTATTTACAATTGCTTATCTTCCAAGACTGCCCAAAAGTCATTTCTTTCATAAAGCCGTTTTTTCCCCTCCACTCCCTGAGAGTTGATAACTTCCTCTTTTGTGTCCTCACAATATCTTGAATCTGATTCTGAAATCTTCTTGTGGGAATTGTGCCCTCATTTACAGATGATCCCAAACTTATGATTTTTTGACTTTACAATGGTGTCAAAGTGATGCCCATTTAGTAGAAATTGTACTTAAAATTTTAAATTTTGATCTTTTCCTGGGCTATTGATATGTGATATAATACTATTACCTGAGATATTCAACACTTTATTGTAAAATGGGCTTTGTGTCATGCACAAACATAGCTTAGCCTAGCCTGCCTTAAAGGGCTCAGAATACTTACATTAGCCTACCCAAATGTAGGAGTCCAAATTTGTAGGTTAATGTGAGTGTTCTGAGCATTTTAAGTTAGGAAAAGCTTAAGCTATAGTGTTTGATAAGTTAGGTGTTTAAGTGTATTTTTGATTTGCAATATTTTTAATTTATGATAGGTTAATCGAGAAATAACATCACTGTAAATTGAGGAGCATCTGTAATTAGATGTTTGTTTTTTCATTTTCTCATATCCAAGCATCACCAGGACATTGCTCAACTAGATTACGTATTAAGTACTCAGTGATCATTTTATAAATGTGTAAATAAACATGTTAAAAATAATGTTGAGTCAGTGAGGGCAGTTCCAAGATGGCCGAATAGGAACAGCTCCAGTCTACAGCTTGCAGTGTGAGCAACGCAGAATACTGGTGATTTCTGCATTTCCAACTGAGGTACTGGGTTTATCTCACTGTGGCTTATTGGACAGTGGGTGCAGGACAGTGGGTGCAGCACATCGAGCATGACCCGAAGAACAGCGAGGCATTGCCTCACCCAGGAAGTGCAAGGGGTGAGGGAATTCCCTTTCATAGCCAAGCAAAGCTGTGACAGACGGCACCTGAAAAATCGGGTCACTCCCACCCAAATACTGCGCTTTTCCAATGGTCTTAGCAAGCGGCACACCAGGAAATTATATCCTGCGCCTGGCTCAGAGGGTCCCATGCCCACGGAGCCTTGCTCATTGCTAGCACAGCAGTCTGAGATTGAACTGTAAGGTGGCAGCGAGGCTGGGGGAAGGGCGCTCGCCATTGCTGAGGCTTGAGTAGGTAAACAAAGTGGCCAGGAAGCCCAAACTGGGGGGAGCCCACCGCAGTTCAAGGAGGCCTGCCTGCCTCTGTAGACTCCACCTCTGGGGGCAGGGCATAGCCAAACAAAAGGCAGCAGAAACCTCTGCAGACTTAAATGTCCCTGTCGAAGAGCTTTGAAGAGAGTAGTGGTTCTCCCAGCATGGAGTTTGGGATCTGAGAATGGAAAGACTGCCTCCTCAAGTTGGTCCTTCACCCCCGAGTAGCCTATCTGGGAGGCACCCCCAAGTAGGGGCAGACTGACACCTCGCACAGCCAGGTACCCCTCTGAGATGAAACCTCCAGAAGAGCGATCAGACAGCAACATTTGCTGTTCAGCAATTTTCGCTGTTCTGCAGGCTCTGCTGGTACCCAGGCAAACAGATTCTGGAGTGGACCTCCAGCAAACTCCAACAGACCTGCAGCTGAGGATCCTGACTGTCAAAAGGATAACTAACAAACAGAAAGGACATCCACACCAAAACTACAAGGCTACAGTAACCAAAATGGCACGGTACTGGTACCAAAACAGAGAGATAGACCAATGGAACAGAACAGAGCCCTCAGATAATACCACACATCTACAATGATCTGATCTCTGACAAACCTGACAAAAACAAGAAATTGGGAAAGGAGTCCCTATTTAACAAATGGTGCTGGGAAAACTGGCTAGCCATATGTAGAAAGCTGAAACTGGATCCCTTCCTTACACCTTATAGAAAAATTAATTCAAGATGGATTAAAGACTTCAATGTTAGATCTAAAACCATAAAAACCCTAGGAGAAAACCTAGGCAACACCATTCAGGACATAGGCATGGTCAAGGACTTCATGTCTAAAACACCAAAAGCAATGGCAACGAAAGCCAAAATTGACAAATAGGATCTAATTAAACTAAAGAGCTTCTGCACAGCAAAAGAAACTACCATCAGAGTGAACAGGTAACCTACAGAATGGGAGAAAATTTTTGCAATCTACTCATCTGACAAAGGGCTAATATCCAGAATCTACAAAGAACTCAAACAAATTTACAAGAAAAAAACAAACAACCCCATCAAAAAGTGGGCAAAGGATATGAACAGACACTTCTCAAAAGAAGACATTTATGCAGCCAACAGACACATGAAAAAAGGGTCATCATCACTGCCCATCAGAGAAATGCAAATCAAAACCACAACGAGATATTATCTCACACCAATTAGAATGGTGATCTTAAAAATTCAGGAAACAACAGGTGCTGGAGAGGATGTGGAGAAATAGGAACACTCTTATGCTGCTGATGGGACTGTAAACTAGTTCAACCATTGTGGAAGACAGTGTGGCAATTCCTCAGGGATCTAGAGCTAGAAATGCCATTTGATCCAGCCATCCCATTACTGGGTATATACCCAAAGGAATATAAATCATGTTGCTATAAAGACACATGCACATGTATGTTTATTGCGGCACTATTCACAATAGCAAAGACTTGGAACCAACCCAAATGTTCAACAATGATAGACTGGATTAAGAAAATGTGGCACATATACACCATGGAATACTATGCAGCCATAACAAATGATGAGTTCGTGTCCTTTGTAGAGACATGGATGAAGCTGGAAACCATCATTCTCAGCAAACTATCGCAAGGACAAAATACCAAACACCACATGTTCTCACTCATAGGTGGAAATTGAGCAATGAGAACACTTGGACACAGGAAGGGGAATATCACATGCAGGGGCCTGTTGTGGGGTGGGGGGATGGGGGAGGGATAGCATTAGGAGATCTACCTAATGTAAATGACGAGTTAGTGGGTGCAGCACACCAACATGGCACATGTATACATATGTAACAAACCTGCACATTGTGCACATGTACATTAGAACTTAAAGTATAATAAAAATATATATATAAAAGAATGTCGAAAAGCATATGGATGCTTTCAATAATCTAAGGATGTTTCACATAGAATATGATTAATAACAAAACCTTCAATTTTAAATATAACTATTTAAAATTTAATAAACATCATTACATGCCTATTCAATGGCAGGCATGGTGTTAAATACTAATTGTTTTTAAGACATAATCCATGATTTTGATGAACTCAAATTGTAAAAGGGTAAAGCCGGGTGTAAGAGCAATCTTGCATCTCTTAATGGCAGGACTCACATTATAAATGAAGATTTTAATGTAAGATTATTGAATTAAAACAAAATAATGAAGGCAATGAGAAGGCTAACTATATAATTTTGAATTCAGAACAGGCACTTCTGAGAGTGAAAGGAGACACTCCTGACAATTATGCTAGTCAGCAAGTATAAAACTGGAATATCTACATTTGGACAAACTGGGATGCATATTCATCCTAGTTAGAGGAGCATAATAATAAAAGATTTAAATAAGAGAAAAATGTGATCCGATTTGTTTTGCTTAAAGAGCACTGTGATATCTTGCAGATATTTGGAGGGGATGAAAACTAGATTTGGGGGAAAAAATTAGGATGTTATCTAGAAAGAAATTAGGAGATGCAAAAATAAGGCACTGACAATACAAATGTTAAAGGAAAAAATAATTTGAAAAACATTGGAAATGCAATGGATATGACTTAGGGATGCTTGTATGAGAGAATTGAGGAAGAGGGAGATGTCAAAATGGTTTGCTAATTTCTGATTTGGGAATATGTGAAGATGTTAAGGGCCTCCAACAAGAAAATGGTTCCCAGACATACTTCATAATACTTTTAACTTGAAGAACATTTTATTTAAAGGAAAGAATAAGTGTGACTTAAATCTATTTTGCTTTTGAAAACATAATCTGAACTAACTTGAATAAGCATGCTGTTTATAATATTTATGGAACATATGGGTGTTTATTGCCCTTTGAAAACACATTTAACAGTTTTAAAATATATTCAGCCCTTCATCACCTTCTCCTAAAAACCTTTTCTGATCTCTCAAGTTGGCCTCAGTATTCACAAGCCACTGTGTGTACTCTCCTATTGCTACACCTGTGACATTATGTGAAAGTAATCTATTTATATATATATGTTTATATATATATAAATAATATAAATATATATTTATATATATAAATATATATAATATAAGGAAGATATATATATCTTCCCTATTTGTAGAGTGCACACTACTTCAGTGTGGGGAGAAAATACTGTTATTATTTCTACCCCATGCTTTGTTCAATGCCTGCAAAGTATTAGGCAGTCAATAAATGTGTATTGAACTGGGACAAACACCAGGCATATATTATTTTTGCAGGAAAAGACATTTCACATTTTTAACTCAGAATGTTGGTGTTTATTGTGTGCTTTTTATGTGCCATGTGCTGTAAAAATATGTGAAAATATGAAGAAATGCTGTTCTAGGCAGAGGGAACAGCATGAACACAGAGCCACCACTACTAAAATAGAGAATCTCGATTTTTAAGAGAGACTTCATCTTTGGGGATAATGGGATTGGAAATATCTCTGGATTCTAAAGCAGCAGTGGAGGCTTCTGCTGTGTAGATTGAGAGAGAAAAGAGGACTATATTGGTGACTACGTTTGGATGGAAAGATAAAAGAGAATAGGCTGAGAACTCCAGGGGGAAACTTCTGAAAAGGCAGGGAGGGAGACTAGGGTTCAAGGGAGAAGGAAGACAAGAAGAGAGACATACACTTGTATGTAAAACATGCCCAACCCTGTACAGTTGAGTTCCGGGATGAGTATTTCCCCAAACATAGACCACCATACAGGAAATTCGTTGTGAAAAAATTTACAAGTTTAATTTTAACAATACAATCAGATCTGGTTTCTATAAGAAGAAACTTTTAAAAGTGAAGAGAGGTATCTATCAATATCAGAATTATTTTTTTCCTGAATGAAGCTAAGTGTTTTGATTTTTGTCCTTCTAGATACACTAAATCCATGGTTTTTATATGGGCCTGTGGTGGGGCCTGAGAATGTGCATTTCTAACTCATTTCCCAGGTAATGCTGATGGTGCTGGCCCAAGAATCATACCTGGAGAAGTACTGCAGTAAATGGACTAAATGTCCAGGTAGTTGGTGTCAAATAAACACAAGCTAAAGTAAATTATAATTTTACTAATTAATTTCTATATTTTAGCATGTTAGATCATTTTATAAAAAATATTCTTACATTAATCCTATAAATATGTTATAAATATATACTTTAATATAACCTATATAAGTACTTGTATAAGTATATTCCAAAAGTGTAACTACTTACACTTATATAAGTTATAAATATATATCTATAATTCCATCACTCAAATAAAGTACATTGGAGTAATTACATCACTTAAATAAAAGTAAAGATTGCTAACACCAATAGTAAGTGTTTATTGATAGCTTATTATGGCCCAGGCTGTGACCTAGTGTTTTTAATTAATTAATTAATACTTGTTAATTAAGTTAATTAACCTCATTCAATCCTCTGAATTGTGTTGGATACTCACAGTAGTATTTACTCCGCAAATCAGGAAACTGTCGCTGAGGCCATAGTTTGAGGCCGAGGACCCAAGCTGGGCTGATCCAGAGCCTCATTCTTGGCCACGTGCTCTTTTGTTCTGCCTCAGGCAATGAAGCAGACAATAGATTCACAGAGGGATCATGGACATACCCTAGAGCTGCTCTTCTCCTTTTCTAGGACTAATGTATTCTGCTTTGAAATATAAGGTCTTTTTTGGCAGTATCGCAATATAGCAGCATGCTGTTAATCCAGTGAAAAGTGCACTGAGCTGCTGTCCATATTTATACATTTAAAAGGCATTGGGAATTATATATTTCACTTTTGTGGTCCAAAATTTATTCCCTGGACAATAACAGAAACTTGTGTAAATCCCATTTATAGGTTCTATGGCACAGATCCCAATCCTATGGGGAGCAATATACCTCAGGAATATTGTACAACAATGCTCTGAACTTCAGTTTGAAGGCTGCCCTCCTCTCACAAGGAAGGGGAGGTTTGTGGCTGATATCAGCCTTATATATAGAGAGAGGTCATCTAAAGCAAGAAAAAGTAAGATTTAGCCTTTTCTAGGTGATTTGAAATTGGATCTCTTTTAATATGCAGCAGCACACTGTTGACGTAGTAGGTAGGCATGTGCAACTGAGGTATTTTGTACTTTCAAATGAGTAGTAAGGAAGTCAAAACTTTTAACTTAAATAAGCCAATTTCTTAGACATTATCTATAAGATGATTAGAAAAGAACAAGGATTGAAAGTTGGGGAGGAAGGAAGAAACATTTTCCATCACATACATATTGCTTACAGATTTATCTCGGATAATAGGGACTGTGAACAAAAGTTCTCTGAAAAGGAATTTGGAAGAAAGAGACTTTATTCCAGTGAACAGTTTGCAAACCGTGATTCAAAGCTTTTGGTGTAAAATGAAGGTGTGATCCAGAGAACCAAGAGAGGGTTCAGTTATTATGGCAAAAGTTCCCACCCAAGTTTCCAGTCAGGTTTGTTTATGCAAATGCTCAGTTCCCATTGTTTGATACAGCTGAGCCCTGATTGGTTGAAGCAGTCCAGGCCTGATTGGTAGATCAGGTGAGCTCTGGAAGTCCCAAAGTTGAGCAGAGCTGTAGGTTTTCAGGGAACTCAGAGTATACATGTGTGATCTTTAGTCAGCAAATGGCCACTTGCCTCTATTTAAAACATAGCCCCATTTAGCCACTCAGGTTGTATTTTGAAAGATTGGCTCTTTCGGTTCACATTTGTTCACTGGACTAAGGTATTTGCAGATTAGGAGTAAAAGAGAATGAACTTCCTAAGTTTCATTTTGGTAAGTGAAGGAAAATATAGCTATCTCGATTACTAGGAACCAACCGTTTTCCAAATTTTAGAGTTTTCATGAGGAGGCATTTTCCCTGAATTATTCTGAATTCTTTCCCTACCCCTTATTCTGCTCAGGAGAGCTTCAGTGATTTAATAAATGGGTTAAAATTGGGAAGAATATACAATTAGGCTTGGTTTAGCTAATTCTTGTTACCACTTGGGGAAAAGCTGTCATTTTTCTATTTCTTCTCGACGTAAGTCTTCACTTGGGCACCGTAGCACTTTGGAATGCCTTCCTCACAATTCTCCAAATCGCCCTCCCTCCCACGCTGGGAACTTCAGGGTTTGCAGTGCTTTTCAGGAGCTGCACTCTCAGCCTGAACAGGACCCCTGTGGGCCAGCCTCTTCACCCTTTTGAGATGCTACTCTCAGACTTCCTAGCCCTGCTGCCTGTGGGGTCAACCAGATGCCCCACAGAATGCTGGGGCTCAAGCCTATAGAATAATTCTGGGACTCTATGGTTAATTCAGGTCTAGGAGGGCAGCCTGGCTAGTGGATCACTTCTCACTGAGTGGAGAGGTATTTCTTTGCAAGATTTGGTAGGCAGAACCACGCTGAAATGTCTTTTAGGGTGACCCACTCATGTTGAACACAGGGCCAGTGCAGGGTTCCCAGCTAGCTATACACTATCACTGACCCTGGGAGCTTGAGCCGTGTGTCTGGGCTCTTGCATGTGGTCTCAACTGTCCATGTTTCCTTCATGGTACCACCTCAGGTCTACAGCACCGCAAGAGTTGGGTGGGGAAAGGTGCTCTGTACCCTGTGTGCCCCTCCAGCTACTGTGCCACTCTTTCCACAGGCTCTGTGGAAAGGAGAGAGTGCAGTGCACCAGGGAAGGCCCAGAGATACTGGTGTGTGCTGGAATAATCTGATGGTGTTTCATGGGATAAATTGTGTAAGTAGCAATCAGAGGTGAAGACTGAGAGCAAGCGGAACTGGAAGGTGCAATGGATAGGAGGGCAGAGTGTAAACAACAAACCGGTATCTCAGCAACAAAATCATGCATTTCTGTGTTGAGTGTTTTATCTTGAGCATCTGGAAAAAAGGTGGCAGCTTTGATAGAGAAAATTTTAAAAGGCAGGCCGAAACTTGGGTTCTAAGGAAAGCTGACTTAGTTTTTCTTTTTTTTCAACATTTTCATGAATTGCTGGGATAAACACTTCTTTCTGCTTACTTGCCTTTCAAGCCCGCAGATCACTCTTTATGAACGTAGAATGTGGTTTCCCTAAGTCGGCCTGACACAGGTGAGGAGACGCTGGGGAACTTTATCATTTCCTGACACACAGTGACTCCTTGATATCTCAATAGTCCTGCCATGTACTTTACCTGCTGCATGTAGCCATGTGTTTAAGTTGGGCAGTGATATGGGCCAACTTGAGATGAAGTTGGTAAAGTTAAATGTTAATGACTTAAAATGACAGTCATATTCAAACTAACTTTACTTTTACCTTCTGTCTTTCTGTGTGTAATATTACTAATATATTAATCTTAACACCAACAAAACTTTAGATAAACATTTCTGATACATTTCAAGACTGAACATATTTAAAACTTTTAACTTTTGAAATAATATGGGATGTACAAAAGAATTGTAAAGTATGAAGCATTTCTGTATATTTTCCATGCAGTTTTCCCCAATATTAACATATTGTGCTACTATGGCACATTTATTTTAAAAGTTAGCATTTTAAATTTTGTTTTTGAAAAATGAAAGTTTCAAGAGTGGACGAAAATATAAAATTTGCCTAATTTTCACAACTTTATATGTATTTATCCATATGCATGCCTCATATATGTACATATCATGAACAAAATGTTTTTCCAAATATGCAGGTTGTAATATTTTGTGGACAATGAGACAGAACATAATTTATAGGTTACTTTAAATACCTAGTGACATTGCATTTGGTCATGGACTCTTTGTATGGATGGCTCATATTCAGTGGAATGATGTATTTATTCTGTTAGTGAATTGAAAGTGAAAAGTATAAGTAGTTCAACCAAGAAAATTCAAATTTAAAATTTTCCTGTTTAAAGCTTTAGATTTTATTTTCAATAACTCATTGTGAAAACAAGATGAAAATTTAATTAAATCAAATAAATTACAGATCTACAAAAACTTGTCAAATTTGTCAAAACTGTGTTTTTGCCAACTGAGAAAAAAATGTGCCTTTATACTCTGGTCATTAAGCAAACCCTGCAGCAATTTTTAAAAAATATATGGTTAGAAACATATTATTGAAGGTGTGAAAATAATCCACACATTTCACCATTCCAGTTACCATAACAACAGAGTATAATGCATTTTCCTTGATTTTAGTTTCAATCATATTTAGCTGAATTTGATTGTCAAAACCAAAAATGAGAGAGAGAGAGAGAGAGAGAGAGAGAGAGAGTAAATATTAATATAGCATTTTTACTTCTACTGAAAGGTAAAGGACTAGGTTTGTGTCCACTCTTACTTTTTACTATTATTACATAGACCTCTCTGTTGAGAAATACTCTGATAATGTCCATGTAGAGTGGAGACAAATAAGTTTTCCAGCATCTCTTACAGCTTATGCGATATGAGATTAAATTTTGGCCAATTAAATGTTAACAGAAGTGTCAAATGGCAGCTTCTGGAACCTTCCTTAATGCCTCCTTTTCTTCTCTTTCTCTCCATTCTACTATTTGAAACACAGATATGATGAGGAGCGTTCTTACTGCCATTGTGGACCCTGAGGACATACGACATGAATTAGAGATGGCAGAGCAGTGGGTTAGAGGTAGCCTGGCTCCTTGAGAACCTTCTGGAACACAGTTGCCCTTCTAGCATTTGACTGTCTTTATCAGAACTTTTTCAAGAGATAAAATATTTCTATTTCATTTAAGCCACTGTTATTTTGCATTTTTCTGCTGTTTGCAGCTTAAATTAATCCTAAAGTGCCATATCTCTATGAAAAGAAAAAATATGAGAGATAGAACTGGACATCTATGTTTTTCAAGGAAAATTGATCTTTATTCATTTACATATGTATCTGTCACCTGTTAAACAACCTAGTATGCTACTCCTGTTACTGCCATTATTTTCTTGGTAGACTCGAGATTGACAATAGGATGTCAGCAGCTATGTCTTCTTCAATCTCATCCTTCTCTGACCCCCCCATTAGAGCTTTCAGTACACCTTAGACCAAGGGTGTTCAATCTTTTGGCTTCCCCAGGCCACACTGGAAGAAGAAGAATTGTCTTGAGCCACACATAAAATACACTAACACTAACAATAGCTGATGAGCTTAAAAAAATCACAAAAAACTCATAATTTGTTTATGTAAATCTTTCAGCTTTATCGATTTTTATTTTTTGTCCTCTTCTTTCCCCTTCTGCTTTATTCTTTTTTTATATAAGCATACTTTAAGTTCTGGGGTACATGTGCAGAACGTGCAATTTTGTTACGTAGGTATACACGTGCCATGATGGTTTGCTGCACCCACAACCCATCATCTACATTAGATATTTCTCCTAATGCTATCCCTCTCCTAGTCCCCCACCCCCTGACAGGACCCGACGTGTGATGTTCTCCTCCCTGTGTGCATGTGTTCTCATTGTTCAACTCCCTCTTATAAGTGAGAACACGTGGTGTTTGGTTTTCTGTTCTTGTGTTAGTTTGCTGAGAATGATGGTTTCCAGCTTCATCCATGTCCCTGCAAAGGACACGAACTCATCCTTTTTTATGGCTGCATAGTATTCCATGGTGAATATGAGCCACATTTTCTTTATCCAGTCTAATATTGATGGTCATTTGGGTTGGTTCCAAGTCTTTGCTTTTGTGAATAGTGCCACAATAAACATAGGTGTGCATGTGTCTTTATAGTAGCATGATTTATAATCCTTTTGGTATATACCCAGTAATGGGATGGCTGGGTCAAATGTTATTTCTGATTCAAGATCCTTGAGGAATTGCCACACTGTCTTCCACAATGGTTGAATTAATTTACACTCCCACCAACAGTGTAAAAGCATTCCTATTTCTCCACATCCACTCCAGCATCTGTTGTTTCCTGATTTTTTTTTATTGTTTTGAGACAGAGTCTCGCTCTGTTGCCCCAGCTGTAGTGCAGTGGCATGATCTCTGCTCACTGCAAGCTCCGCCTCCCAGGTTCACGTCATTCTGTTGCCTCAGTTTCCCGAGTAGCTGGGACTACAGGTGCCTGCCACCACGCCTGGCTAATTTTTTTGTATTTTTTTTTTTTAGTAGAGATGGAGTTTCACCGTACTAGCCAGGATGGTCTTGATCTCCTGACCTCGTGATCCGCCCACCTCGGCCTCCCAAAGTGCTGGGATTACAGACGTGAGCCACCGCGCCAGGCCATTTCCTGACTTTTTAATGATTGCCATTCTAACTGGCGTGAGATGGTATCTCATTGTGGTTTTGATTTGCATTTCTCTAATGACCAGTGATGATGAGCTTTTTTTCATATGTTTGTTGGGTGCACAAATGTCTGCTATTGAGAAATGTCTGTTCATATCCTTCGTCCACTTTTGGATGGGGTTATTTTTTCTTGTAAATTTGTTTAAGTTCTTTGTAGATTCTGGATATTAGCTCTTTGTCAGATGAATAGATTGCAAAAATTTTCTCCCATTCTGTAGGTTGCCTATTCACTCTGATGATAGTTTCTTTTGCTGTGCAGAAACTCTTCAGTTTAATTAGAGCTCATTTGTCAAATTTGGCCATTGCTTTTGATGTTTTAGTCATGAAGGCTTTGCCCATGCCTATGTCCTGAATGGTATTGCCTAGGTTTTCTTCTAAGGTTATTATGGTTTTAGGTCTTATGTTTAAGTCTTTAATCCGTCTTGAGTTAATTTTTGTATAAGGCGTAAGGAAGAGGTCCAGTTTCAGTTTTGTGCATATGGCTAGCCAGTTTTCCCAACACCATTTATTAAATAGGGAATCCTTTCCCCATTGCCTGTTTTTGTCAGGTTTGTCAAAGATCAGATGGTTGTGGATGTATGGTCTTATTTCTGAGGCATCTGTTCTGTTCCATTGGTCTATATATTTGTTTTGGTACCAGTACCATGCTGTTTTGGTTACTGTAGCCTTGTAGTATAGTCTGAAGTCAGGTAGTGTGGTGCCTCCAGCTTTGCTCTTTTTGCTTAGGATTGTCTTGGCTATGTGGGCTCTTTTTTGGTTCCATATGAAATTTAAAGCAGTTTACAAAAAAACTCATAATGTTTTAAGAAAGTTTACAAATTTATGTTGGGCCACATTCAACCTACTGTGGGTTGGACAAGCTTGCCTTAGACACTCCTTAGTTTTATATTGGTTTGTTTTTGAGAACATCATGACATCCGAAGGTAATTAATGAAACCCTAGAGTTTTGCACAACCAAGAATGGAAAGTGACTACTACTTAAGGCTTTTGTTTTTCAGTCTTGGGAAAATAGAGTTAAACTTACTCTCACTGTTACTAAATTAAAAGAGCAATTGTATATTGCTCATAGTACCCTCAAAATAATTGAATAATCCATTTATCTAAGTTCAGAAGAGAAATAAAAATAGCGAACATATAAACTGAAGTAGGGGGCTCTTCCAAGCTACACATAAAGAGATATCCTAAAGTGGAAAAAATATTAAGTGAGATTAAAATGAGTTAGTTATATTCCATATCTATTTTGTCAAGCAAAATAAGAATTTGAAAGGATTGATGTAGGAAAAATGGAAAAGGATAAATTATTAATACTTTGCTAAGTAAGGAGAACAAAGGTATGTGATAAATTACTCTTGAGTGATAAAGAAGACATTAGAGAGAAAAAGTTTGAATTTTTTTTAAAGAAAAAAGATATAAAGAAGAGAAATGGGATAATGAGAGATCAAGAATATTTTAGGCTAAATTTCTAGAAGGTTGTTCTAAGAAAGAATACTTGATACAACAGACTGGTATTTCACTAGGATTGCTGAGAGTAGGATATAAGAGAACACATAGATAAATAAATGGTTGAAATTGGCAACTTTACCTCCAGCCTTACTTGGCAGTTATGGAGTGAACCAGAATAGGGGAGTCATGGAGATAAAGTTGCTGACTGTAGGCACTCCTGCCAAAGAACTCATGCCCATAGCAAAATTCTACAATAAATGAGTCTGCTTTTCCTATACCAGACTGGGGCATTTATTTTCTGTGAGAACAAAACCATTTTTAAAAATCATTCTTCCTTCTCAGCTCTGTCTCCAAATGTCCTACCCTGACTATAGTTCTTGAGGGAAAGAAAAAAAACCAAATTGATCATTTTATTATTTGACCTGATTTGCATTTTAAGTTCTATGTGACTGTCAGATATTGGGCTTCCCAGAGGCTACTCAGTTCTAGTGTAGTCCAGGTCAGCCTCTTCCCTCACAGAACATCCTTATCTCTACTGATGCTCAGAAGAGAATATCCTAGTTGTAAAGTGGAGAATTCAGTTGCTATTGGTGTAAATCAATTATGAGCATTGATTTCATTTGTTTTGATGTTAATACTTCTAAAATTTGATCAAACAGCTTTTTAACTACCATCAAGTGTTAATTTTGAAAAAGCAGTATTTTATTCAAGATCCTACAAATATTGTTCTTCAAGATTGAATGCCAGTAAAGGCTGTAATTCTATAATTTGATCTACTTGTGTTTCTGAAGCTAAGACAGTTATTATGACTTTCTTTAATTTTAAAAAAGGGAGAAAAATAGAAAAAATTTTTAGTAAATCTAGAATTTGATAGTGCCATCTGTTGTTTAGAAACAAAATTGCATGCCCTTAAAAGCTACAATTTCTTTCTCTACTAATTTTCAAGAAAAGGTTAAGACTAATTTTGTCCATGTTCTCAATTTATTCAAGAGAAAAAGTTACAAAGCTTTGTTCATGCTGTATTTCCACATACAAAGGCGTTTGTCATCTCTTTTATACTGATTAACATGTAGAATCTTGAAATTGTTATAAATATGACGTATTTGCCTAAAAATTAGCAACTATTAAAAATATGCCTAGTTCAGATTATGCTTTAAAATAATAAGTAAAATAATAGATATCAGAGATAAAGATACTTTCAGTTTTGAAAGATAATGCACCTTAATTTACATTCCATTGTTAAGATAAGAGTGGCTTTTAGTTCCAAATAATGAAGATAATTCTAGATTCACTAAAAAAATTTTCCTATTCTTCTTTCTTTTTTAATTAAAAAAAGTCATTCTTAGCCTCAGAAACACAAGTAGATTAAATTCAACTATGAGTAAACATGTGACTATGGCAACACATAAATATATATCTTACACTTGGAGGAATAAAATTAATATTTCAAAATATTTAACTTATGATAATGTGAATTTTATAATTTCTTCTCTTTAAATACACCTAATGTTTCAAATGTTTTATGTAATTAATCTTACAGATACAGGGAAAAGTAAAAGAATACCTTTATTAAGAAGAAGCAAGCCACACCCCCATCGCACGCCCTGGCAAGGGGGACAAGGGAACATTTCCCATTACATTTACAAGGAAAAAAGATAGTTCAAATTACACATGATTGGTTTTTGTGATCAATTTACTACTAAAAATTTTAAGTGTTTACTTCAGTGTTTAAAAAAACAATTCTATAATAGGCTTTGTAATTTCAAAGAAATATGTTGAACTTTATTTTATTTTTTTCATAATAAGCTAATATATTGCATATACACATTATTTATTGCTTCATCTCTGTCACTGTTTCTCCACAGTTTGTCAAACAGATTTGTTGGTATAATAAAATTGTTAACACACTAACAGATAAAAGGAAATTCAGGAAAGTTCTGAACAATTTAAGTTTGCAATGTTACAGAAGGATCCTTAGCCTGGGTTACATTTCAGACCACTTTCTTAATGCTGTTGTTCACAGAAGTAGTTTAACATTTCATAGTAGCTTATTTCAACTTAGTTTGAGGCAGTGTTTTCCAATGTTATTAAATTTACACGTGAAATTGTAAACTCCTTTTTAGAATTAGATTGTCCTCTGTAGTCATTCTAAGGGTAATTTTAAATTGTATGCTTTTGTAAAGTTCTTATACTTTACAATAAGTAGTATAATATTACTCGAAGGTAAGCAGTAATAAGTTAAAGATGGACACTATAAACCCTACAGAAACTAAAATGAGTCTATAAAGAGTTATAGCTAATAAGCCAACAAAGGAGAATCATAAGTAGTATCATAAAATATACTCTATTAATGCAAAAGAAGGTAGGAAAAGAAAAAAAGAGGAGAGGCAAAGAACGGTTAGGACAAATATAAGACAACAAGACAGGAGGCTTAAATTCAACATGTAACAATCACACTAAATGTAAAAGTCTAAACACTGCAATTAAAAAGCACGCAATATCAGGTTAGATAAAACAGTAAAACCCAACTACGTGCTGTCTACGGTAAATCCAATTTAAATATAAAAACATAATTAGGTTACAAGTAAAGAGATGGAATAAGATATTCTATGCGAACATTTATCATAGAAAGGTGGAATGGACATATTAAATATAAGACAATGCAGATTTCATATCAAAGACTATTACCAGTGATACAGAAGATGATTTCATAATGATAAAGTGTTCAATTAATGAAGAGGACATAATAATCTAAAATGTTTATGCACTGTATCAGTTTTGTTTTGTTGCATAACCAATTACCAGAAGCTTAATGTCTTTAGAAGACACCCATTTATCAGCTCACAGTTCTGTGGCTCAGAAGCCTCAACATAACATTTTCGATTCAGTTTCAAAAGGTAAAATCAATGTGGCAGCTAGACTGTATTCTAGTCTGGATTTCAGGAGCCTCTTCCAAGCCCGCATGCTGTGACAGAATTCAATTTCTTGCAGTTATAGAACTGAGGTCTCCATTCCTTCACTGGTTGTTAGCTGAAGGTCACTCAGCTCCTAGAGGTCAACTCTATTTTGCCACATGGCCCCCTCTGTTTTCAAAGCCAGGAACAAGGAATCCTTCTCACATGGAATTCTTCTAATACTTTGAATGTCTTTCACCAGAACCTTTGTCCCTTTTAAGGACTAACCTGATTAGGCCAGGTTCACTGAGGATAATCTCCAAGGATTATACAGGGCATGCACATCAGGGAGCAAGATCTTGGGGACCACCTTAGAATTCTGCCTATTCCAGGTATCTAATAACATGAAAATACAAGAAGCCAATACTAACAGAACTACGAAGAGTAATAGACAAATGTATGATTATAGTTACAGATTTCAACACACCTTAACAATATATGAAATAAGTGGACAGAAATTCAGTAAGGATATAAAAGACTTAAATAACACTATCAATCAACTTGATCTAATTGATATTTTTAGAACACTACACCTGATGTCAGCAGAATAAACAGTATTTTCAAATGTGTATTGGACATCTTACAAGATAGACCATATCCTGCACCAAAAAACAAGGCTCAAAAAATATTTTTAAATTCAACTCATACAATACATGTTCTCTGAACACAATGGAATTAAATTATAAATCTTATTTCATAGGATCATGTTGGTAGCCCACCAAAGTAGCCACAGAGGGAATATTTATACAGTGGAAATTGATCAGAACTGGTAAGTGATACACATCAGGCCTTCCCTCTCTCTGGCTATTTGTCACCTACGACAGGTTGCTAAAATTTTTCGAAGACATCATTGACGTTACTTACTAAGGAACTTTGTCTCAGCATCTAGGGATCATGAGTGGAGCCCCTTCAGTTTATATCTAACAAAACATAGGCCCAGTAACTTACCCCAAACACACTGCCAACTAGTCAAAAAGCAGTTTAGAAAACCAAAACAAGAGAGCTTTTTAAGTGACTAGTTATCTTCATTTAATATTTTTTTATTGTTGCTTCTTCTCTTTCCCTTCTATATCCCTTTTTTATTAAACATCTCTTACTAAGGAACTTTGTCTCTGTTTGATATTTATTGAAAGAGGTGCCTAAATAGATGAAGCAAAATTATAGGTGATGAAAATCTTGTCTCAGCATCTAGGTGTAAGACAACCCAAGCATACATTTAGGTGCACAATTTTGGAAAACAGTAAGACATTAAAAAATAAGGCTATTTCAGTCAGAGTTTAGGTCTATAAAATGCAAGATTACACATTTATACATTTTAAAAACAGAATAAGTATTCTGATTTCAGGTTTTAGAAATCAGGCTGGTCTCGAACTCATGAGCTCAAGTGATCTGCCTGCCTCGGCCTTTAAAGGAATTAATTTCTTAAACATAGAGTTTTGTTATAAAATTATAATTGACTTAAACATTAACACTATACATACTTCAGAACCTCACCGCCACTTCATCCTTTCTATCCATTTTCTAGCGCTTATTTGTCTAAAGTTCACCACCTCACCTGGTATATTCCAACATGGTCTCATCTTTCATCATATTCCCATTAAAACGTTCATCATTTCTTGATTGTCACAGAATCAACTATCTAAACTTTCATCATGAAGTATAAGAAAATAAAAGTTTAATTTTCCAAAAGGCTTATTTTAAAGCAGAACTTGTGAATCTAAATGAAATTTTAGGGTGTGAGAAGTTCTCTGAGATATTTTTGAACGAGGGAATATTTCTGCACTTTTTGGCCTATATGGGCTGTGAGTCACATTTGCAATGTTGCCTTTCTTCCCTCAATACCTTTTTTTCATTCTTTAAACCTTTGCCTAGTAACCACAAGCAGAAATATAGCTACTCTCTCATCTTTCAGAATCTGTCCTATTACTTTATTCAGCAAGTACTAGAAATATTGCTGTTACTAGAGCAGAAGTAAAATTCTGCCTTAACAGAGTTTACATTCTACTGAGGAGGGGGGCAAATAATATACACAATTAAAAGTAAATTGTGGCTGGGCGCAGTGGTTCATGCCTATAATCCCAGCACTTTGGGAGGCCGAGGCGGGCAGATCACTTGAGCTCATGAGTTCCAGACCAGCCTGAAATTAGCCAGGCATGGTGGTACACACCTGTTGTCCCAGCTATTGGGGAGGCTGAGGTGGGAGTATGGCTTAAGCCCGGGAGGCAGTTTGCAGTGAGCCAAGACAGCATCACTGCACTCCAGCCTGGGCGATAGAGCCAGACTTTGTGTCAAAAAAAAAAAAAAAAAGTAAATTGTGTAGTGTATTAGGCAATAATAAGCACTATATGAAAAATAAAGCAAGGAAACATATACAGAACATTAGGGGAGGGTGGTGGGTATTACTGTGTAAATAAAATAATCAGGGAAAAGCTCAATGAGGTAACAAATAAAGAAAGACTTGAAGGGGTGAGGGAGCAAGCCCTCTGGAAGAGCCCTGTGAAACCTGGGCAAGAGTGTTTCTGAGAGAAGAAACGGCCTCTGCAAGGGTCCTTAGGAAAGAGCCTCCAAAGCAGCCAGTGTGGAAGCCAAATGGATGGCATTTTCAAAACGACTGTCATATTTATTTTTTATGCATTTCCAAGCAATCAATTTTTCATAGATTTTGCCTATTTACTCAGTTCTCCATTTTAAAAATTTAGAAAAAAAGAAAATAATAAATTCCCATATACCCAATACCCAAATGAAAGTATCACAATTTTGACAAAATTGTGTTTTTAAATCTTTTTTCCTTTTGCTGAAGTATTTTAAAGAAATTCTATATCACTGGATTTCTGTTCTTCAGCATGCATCTCTAAATGTATAGCCATATTCTTATATATCTACAAAATTATCACATGGGACTAAATCAAATTATTCCTATTTATCTAATACTCAGTCCATAACTAAATTTTTCTGATTTTCTCAAAATGTCTTTTTGCAATTGATTTGTTTGAATCAACACCCAAATTTGATGGCATTTCTTAAAGTGAAATGACAATTTCACTGTATTTGTACTATTGCCTTAAGTGTATGCTATTTTAAAAATATTTTAATATTTCTTGAATATTAAATTAAGGAGATAATCGAGCAGTTAATTATAATTATAAATACTCTAAAATTGACACTATATATGACTTCAAATAAAGGTGCACAACCCAAATAATGCATTTGTATGATTTTTCTCATCATTATTATTAATAATACAACTAATTTGTTATACTATCATCTAAATCACATATCGGCAATTTTTTTTTAATCATAGAGGACTTAGCTCACATAGGTACAGCTTAGATGCACTTAAACATTATATGAAACAGCTAGAGAAAAGAAAATAGCAAAAGCAGCCCAGGTGATGATGACAGAGCACAGAAAATGAAAATGGTCCCAGCAGGAGTAAGTGGAGACCCAGTATTCTTTCAAATAAGCATTTGTTCAACCTATTACAATTAGTAATGTCAGGTCTTAGTTCCAACATTATTTCAACACGTTTACAAAGCAACATTTGATTCAGGCCACATGTACACTCAGTAATAAAATCTGTCAGGATTTTTACAAAGCCTTAAATGTTTTCTTTATATATTTCCCTAAAGGTTAAATAAGGTTTTCATAAAAATAAAAACTGTTCTCCTTTCTTAGTTCAAAATCAATGATAGCATTTCCTTCTTTTCATATATGTATTGAGTTTGGCTTTCCTTTATTAAACACTCTTCAATAGCAAATCACCTGATGTAAGGAGGGTAGAAAATGATTTGGTGCTGATCACGCCATTCATCAAATCCCAGAAAAATATGATTTTGTGTCATTTTCCAATGCACATTTCCAAACCCAAACTGAACAGAAGAGACTCAACTTTAATTAACCATCCTATCCTTCTATTCCAACAATCATATGCTTACTGATGGTGAATTTATCTGTCTCATTCAAATTTGAGAGAGAGATTTTTGGAAGATGATACTTGAAAATTCTGAGATATTCAAGTCACCATATAGTTTTCATAATAAAGGCAGATACCTGACTGGCGTTGGATTATAAAATTAATTTCCAGCATCTAGAATTGTTTTTTCACCTTTGCAGCATATGTACATATATACATATATATGCAATATTTTACATATAAATGTAAAATACTGATTTTTTTCCACTCTCATGGATATATGTTAATTATAAGGTTTTTAATATCTTTTTTTATGTTTTATATCTTTTTCTTGCCAGTAGTTCAGTATGGCAAAAGTATCCTTGAATTCTTTTTCATAAAGGTGTTCTATGGATTTTTTTCATAAATAAAATCTTTACTTTCAACTCATTTTTGTCTTAAATACAAAAATAAGTCATTATATCCACTCAAACATATATCTCAAATAGATGCTTTAATTCTCTCTCCTAAGCTAGAGCCTTTGCTTGGTAATATACAGAGACAGAGAGAAAATAGACATTACTGATAATGTTTTTATCTAACATTTATTAAATATTTTCTACATGGAAAGTCTTTTGCTAAATTCTGTGTTATTTTATTTACATTTTGTAATAATTCCATGAAGCAGGTATTACTGGCAGATGAGGCAAATGAAGATTGTAAAGTTAGATGAACTTGATTATCGATACTTTGCCAGTACTGCTACAGACAAAGAGACCACACCTCCATCTACCAAAAAAACTCAGTGTCCTAAACCAAAGTTTCATAATGTTCAATTCCAAGTTCAAATGTATTAGTACGTCTGTCTATACACCAGCAGAATTATAGAGTGTCTTAGAGTGTGACACTGGGAGTTGCATGTACAGTAATTCACATCATCTACCACAGCAAATAGCTAGCAATATCTGTCACCAGTGCTATAGGAGACAAAGAAGGAAATCAAAACATATGCACTGGACTCATGGAGGACCTTACATTCCAGTTACATTCCAAATCACTCTAATACAAGGTAGAATGAAGTGCTTATAGCACAATACAAATGAAGAGCTATGGGAGTTCAAGGTTACTTTTCACCACTCACTTAAATATTTATTAAGCACCTACTGTATGTAAAATATCATACCAGGCAGTATGATCAAACAAATGAACATGATAGATATGTTCCTTTGCCACTATGGAATTTAGTGATTCAAGTGGGGAGAATGATTGAAAACAAGTAATAAGTAAAGGAACAACTAATTGTGATATGTGGTAGGAAGGAAATGAGCAGTAAATGAATAATTGTGAAATATATTGTTTTTAAGGAGATATTTACAGAGAAGAGGGAGTTATATAAGCTGAGAATTAACCATGAGAAGGAAACAGCCATGGGGAGAAGGGAAGATAGATTTCTAGGCAGGGAGCAGAAAATGTTCAATTACTAAAAGGCAAGTTTGAGAACTGAAGAATGCCAGTGTGGCTGGGACCTAGTAGGCAAAGGAAATGGTGGGTGTGAAGATGCAATTGTAGTGGTAAGAAGACCACTTCGTGCCTGAGAATCTGAGCAATGTTTTAGACACAACGGGAAGATAAAAGTTTAACAAACACAGGAGCATACATACTCTGATTAACATTTTCCATAAATTACCCCTGGCTGCAGAAGAAAAAGTAATACTGAGAGATGTAAAAGGCTTCAGAAAAAAAGCCGGGTATGGTGACTCACACCTGTAATCCTAGCACTTTGGGAGGCCAAGGAGGGCGGATCACCTGAAGTCAGGAGTTCAAGACCAGCTTGGCCAACATGGTGAAACTCCATCTCTATTAAAAATAAAAAAAATTAGCTAGGGGTGGTGTAGGGCGCCTGTAATCCCAGCTACTCGGGAGGCTGAGGCAAGAGAATTGCTTGAACCCCGGAGGCGGAGGCTGCAGTGAGCCTAGATTGAGCCATTGCACTCCAGCCTGGGTGACAAGAGGGAAACTCCATCTCACACACAAAAAAGGGCTTCAGAATATGTGGCGTTACTTAGTTTTTGAGAACTGCTTTTAGCATTCGTTCAACAATTATTTATAAAACATAGAAATGTGCCACTTTCTAGAAATACAGTGATGGGATAAAAGACAACATTTCTTGCCTTCTGACGCTTACTTTTCCAAGCAGAGATTCTCTCTCTTTCTCTATACGTGCGTGCGTGCACACGCGTGCACACATACACACACACTCATTTGTAAAGATGAATGAATGAAAAGAAACCTCTGAAAACTTCCATAGCTCTTTATATTTTTTGTTCCTTGTTCTTTAAAATGCTTATTTCTTCCTATATTTTATTGGTGTTATTTAGTATGTGTGCACATATATATATATATGTGCATTCACACTACACATACACTAAATTATGTATGTATTCCATATGCTATATGTGTATATTATGTATATATATTTATATATTATATATGCTAAATATATAATTCTACAGATATTATATTACATATAATATACTGTGTATTAAATTATGCATTGCTGTTTTCATATTTTTTGTAATATTTTAGTAAAGATACGAATTTTACTCTAATAATTAGCACATGGTGAGCTCAATTTTGTCATGTCTGATACTGTGCCTCATGGCCACACAGTGCTCTCTGTTGAATTCTCAGACTTGTGTTTTATGTTGCTGTGAAATTACAGCAACATTAATAAAAATATAAAATGTATTAATAAAATACATTAAAATATGAACATAATTTTATATTTTATTTTGCTGGATAATTACTGTTATAAATATCTGCCTTTTTAAATTATGTGAAAATATATCCACCTAAGCATAATTTATTTTAAAAGGTAATGTTTAATCAAACATTAGTGTCAAAGCAAAAATATTTTGACTTATAACTCATTATTAATTTAGTCTACTTGTGATGGGATAATTTATTTATAAAGCAATTAAGAAGTTATGTACCCTGACTCTAAATAGGATAGGATAGGGCCACGTAGAGAAGAGCTGAACTCAATGCTGTTCATGAATTTGGTAAGTCATGTTTGCATGGAATTCTATGATAGAATTTGTATTATTTTATGAGAGAGATTTATGATAGTATGTTATGGTTCTACTCATTTTATAAAAGCAAAACAACTAGTGGAATGCCTGCTTCACTTTAAAAAAGAACACCATGTTCTAGTTTTTCTTTCCTCTGTATAGACTCTGTCTTGTCTCTCAAAAGTATAATATTTTAAAACTCGCTGAAATTTAGATACAGTGGCACTTCGGCCTTTCAAAAGGGTTCAAGCAGAGGGATCTGAATGTGCAAAGTCTGGAGACTTTTTCAGCAGTGAACAGCCTGGAGACTGTTTGTCAACAATGAACAATGTGCTTAGTCGGGAGTCTTAGCTGATCAGTGAAAAATCCATAAGAGAGCAAAATACATGTGGGGAAGAACTCAAACTTATGTCACAGCTTCCACCACTTTGAGCTACAAAAGCAAATAGGAAGTCACTTCAATTCAAGACATTTATCAATCACCTGTCATGTGCAAGATTGGACCTTTGGTATTAAAATGATGAACAAAAGCACAAGTCCCTCCCCACCACCAATTCGGAGAGGAAGGTCTGGTTACTCAACAGAAGAAATAGGACAAATGTTGCAACAGAGAAGGACTCTAAGTACAAGAGATTCAGCTCACTAGAGCTGACTGAAGTTTTCTTATGAAACAAACTCTGGCAACTCATTTTCCATCCACTTAAAGATGCTGTATAAGAAATTATAAAATATTTTAGCTAAGTCTTGGAGATTTTATCAATGACTTGTGGGTGACTATGAAATGCTCTCAGGAATGTAATCCAGGGTTGCAATAATCTTGTTAATCAAAAAGTTAGAGCAGGAGATTACCCCAGCTTCCATGTTTTTTTTGTTTAGTTTCTAAACTGGGTGGAATTAAACATTTAAATCTTAATGTATAAGATTTATCTATTAGGCCTATTTTCAGTACTGGCTGAAGTATTGTTAATCAAGAAGATATAATACCATCAATATTTTTGAGAAAATTATCTTAGCCGTAACATTATTCTGAACACTTTAATCATGGTGGCAGCTAAACCTTCAGGTTGTATAACACTTTTTAGTAAGAGCTCTAGGATCCTAGCTACACTGAAAGGACGTGAGGCAGGCTGGGGGTCAGTGCCCTCAGACATCTTAGTTTCTAGGTCCCTGGACTTCTGTTGCTAGGCATTCACTGAGAGAATAATGGCAGGGCTATTGTAAGGGTGGTTTTCTCCCCGCCCTCTTCAAACTTGTCTTTCTCTGCTTCTGAAAATAAGTGAATATTTGGAGACAGCCTACAGAGAGGCCAAGAGGTTTCTGCTTCTATTGATGTTAGCATTTGGTTATAACCACGGGCAAAGAATATTAAGGTAAGAGCTACCGATAATTTTTTAAATTAACATTTGCTTATTTTTGTAAGATAGAACTTTGTTAATGTTTCTTCAAATAAGATTACAGGTCTATTTCAAGTATTAGTAGTTTAGCTCTTTGTGTAACATACACTGTCTTTAAAAAAAAGCATAATTTTCCTTTATAATGGGCACTTAGAATGCAGTAAGAATGTGTAGAGAAAATGTTCTGGCAGAATTCAACAAGACATGTGAAAATAGCCTGAAGAAAAGCATTTATGTTGAAAACTGTTATCATGTTATTGTTTATGGCATTTTGATTGACAGACTGAATCCACTACTAAATCAACAAACTTTGTACTGTGGAACTGTTAATCTTTTGGACATGGTATGATGCTGGTTTTAATTTTACAGATATTCTGACTGCTCTGGGTATAGAAACCCTGGGGGAGGACAATTGGTGCACTTACAAATATAGCTGCCTGCTTTTCTTTTGAAGTCAAACTCTGGTTTAGCTGTTTACATGTTTTCTAATGTAGCAGAAATTGACTTCTTTGTGTCAACACAATTTCTAAGAATCTAAATTAAAACATGAAATCAGTTAAGTTGGGGGAGAAGGTTGAGTTTAAGCCCTAAAGTAAAAGGATTTGGGTTTAAATGGCAGTTCTGTCCCCTCTCAGCTGCCATATCTTGGGCAGTTACTTGACTGCTTGTTAAAATGGGGATTCTGAGTCACTATGTCACAAGAGTTTTAGAGAAATTAAAAAAGATATTATAGCTTATATGCCACTTAATAGAGTGCTTAGCACAAAATCAGTGCACAAAGAGTTAACCATTACCTACTATAATTACCTAAAGAAGGAAATCAGTATTAATCTGCCCTTCTATTGGCATCAGAAAATTCAGAAAATCTGCAAGTTGTCCAACAAGAATTTACAGAAAAGGTGAGTCACATAGAAGGCTCTGTGGTGCTTAGAGTAAGAATAACTTTGCCTTGAAGATCAAAGAAATTCAAGGATAGATGAGTCCAGTCCCTTCTCATGATGAGAGGAGAGAAAACATAATGGACATTTAAGAATTGATAAATTATAGCTTTGGTTTCTTATATAACATCTCTCCTTTTTACCAATATCTCGCTTTACATTGTATGGAACAGTCCTAGGCAGTGACCCATGTAATCATGGGAAGAAGAATACAGAGGAGATAACTGAGGCTTGGCAAGATCAAGGGATGTGTCTAAGACCACACCAGCAATCCCTGACAGCAGGGATGTTAAAAAACAGTCTCAGGCTTGATCCTCATATTTCTTTCTACACTGCACTGCATGTAATTCTAAAAGAAATGTTAAAGGGTTGAGAGGGAAGAAGTCCATAAAAATGTGAGAAAAACTATGTGCTTTCATAAAGTCGATAAATGTAATAACTATTGGGATTTAGTAGCAGAAGCACTGATAAATTAAGGGTAAGGCATTTGTTGGCTCCTTTAATGCAAATCTGCAGAATTGCTTTGCCTGTATTCACTGGAACTTTTTCAGTGACTAATTTCTTTAATTTAACCAATGATAACACAGTTTGCATACAGTAAGCTAAGCAACAAATTAACTGCCAGTGGAGGCAACTTCTTAATTTTATTGGGGCATATGCTAGCATCTAGTTAAGTTTAAATTCCAATCTGGCACATACTTACTTCAAAACTCAAACTACATTTGTAAATTTTAAGCAAATACATTTGTAACACATTTCTTAAATGTAGGACCTGCTTATTTTGAGGTGTTAAAGGACTCCAACAGAATGTGGCCGTTTTCTAGTCATGACATACAAAATCTCCACAAGTTGAGAATGAATGTTGTATGTACTTGTTTTGTTAAAAATGATTTCTTCTAACTGTAAAAGCAGGTGTTCTCATTTTGTATGAATTCTAATGTGTGTATAAAAGAATTATATGCCTTTTCATTTTCTTGTAAATGAAGGATGATAGAATATTATTGATATTAATTAAAGAATATTATTTAATATTCATTAAAGCCGTTTTGTGTTTGTCAAAGGTGCCCATGGTGAATGGAAGAAGTCTTTTCTAGTCAGTACTGTTACTACAGCTCTGGTATTGATTCATCTAGTATTGATTCATATTTTTGCCCAATTAAGTGCTGTACACCTGCTTCAATTCATTAATATATTGTTGCAAGTTGTGTACTGAATTCGCTTTGGTTGCACTACCTTTAAACTTATAGTTAGCCTTTCAGAGCTAAACAGTAATGAGTCTAGTGTAATAACGTATGCATTAACTATTATTGAAAATATTTCAGATGAATGTAAATTGCTTTCTGGGCTATTTTGTATTTTCACTTTGATCATAACACTTGTTTCCAATATCTATACCTTAAATTTATTACTAATGAAAGTTTGTCAGCAGCGGGGGTCTCTCTAAATTTAAGCTAAATAACCCTCTCAGAAAGATTACGTTAGTATTTTGGTGATGTTGATGTATCACAATCACATTCACTAGAATGACCATACGTCTTTAATTTAATTACTATGATATGGAGTGGGGGATATTGTTGTCTCTTAATTTTACTACCTTAAGTGGGTTTTGTCATGTAAAAAAGAGAATTTGGATTGCTATTCAACTACTTCCTATGAGTTTTTATTGTTGTTGTCTCTATAAATCCATGTTCCTAATATTGAAACATTTCTATCAATATTATTTTGTATAACAGTATATATATAAATATATATAATCTTAAGAACAATACTGAACATTTTTTCTTTCTTTAATAAAATTAGAAAAAATCTTCTCAGTTTTAAATTTATGTGCATTTAGGTGATTTTAAGAGGACATGAATGAAGACAGAGTAAGGTATAGAAAGACTACTGATCTAGTTTTAGAAAACTTAAATTTTAGTTGAACACTTTTAACAGTGAAGTTTTCTTAATGCTCTTTTGCATTTTTTTCCTCCATTTAATGTCCTAGTCATATTACATCTTTGATAAATGTCAGTTCAATTTAAGTTGACTCTCTGTGTTGTAGATAATCGCTGCTGTCCAGAAGAATATATATGTTGTATTCAGTAAGCAAAAGATTGAATACTTGATTTAAGAAAGATGAATACAATGATAGGAAGAGGCAAACATTCTTTATTACATTTTCATTAAATTCTTTTCTTTCACTTTAAAAACTTAATGTGTAATATATACACATTAAAATGCACAGCTGTTAGGTGTTCTGCTTCATGAGTTTTGACAATTGCATTCTACTCAGAATCTACAACCGAAAGCAAGATGTAAAATATTTTCATCATCCCAGAAATACTTTCCATGTCCCTATCCAATCAATCTTTCCTCCTCTCCTCCCCAGAAGAAACTTCCTTCTGATTTCTATCATTGTAAATTAGTATTTCTTGCTCTTGAACTTCATATAAATATAACTATAACATAAGCATTATTCTTCATCTCAAATCTCTCAGTAATCATATTGATTTTTGACATTCATAGATGTAATTGCATGTATCAGTGTTCATTGCTTTTCATTGCAGAATATTATTTCATTGTATGAGTGTAATATTCCATTCCTTGTTTATATCTTCTTCTCTTGATATTCTCTTATATTTGGGCTGTTACGAATATTCTTGAACAAGTCTTTTTGTAGACACATTTTTTATTTTCCTTGTGTAAGTATCTCAGGCAAAATTCTTGAATCATGGATGACATGAATTTTCAACTTTATAATTGCTGCACAATTCTCCAAAGTGGTGGTACCATTTTATTCTACCTGAAACGTATGAGTTCTGATTGCTTCACTCCACTCCCATCCAACATTTGGTGCTATGAGGCTTTTTAAATTTTAGGTCTCTTAATGGGTGTGAAATGGTATCTCAGTGTAGTTTTAGTTGCTTTGTTTTGCTCCGATCACTAAAGATGCTGAGACATCTTTTCACATGTCTGTTAGCCAGTTGTGTATCTTCCTTTGTGATGTGTCTGTTCAGGGCTTTTGACAATTTATTAATTGGATTGCTTGTCTTTTCATTATTAATTTATAAGAATTCATTTTATATTTTGAATGGAGTAATTTGTTCAAATATCTAAATTTCTATTATTTTCCTCCAAGATGTGGCTTGCCAATTTGTTTTCAACTATGTCCTTTGATAAACTAAAGTTTTAAATTTGGAGGAGATGCAGTGTTTCAACTATTTTTAAAAGGTTCATGTTTTCCGTATCTATCAAATAAATCTTTCTCTATACCAAGACCATGAAGACATTTCCTTATACTTGCATCTACAAGGTGTATGGTTTTAATGTTTATATTTAAATCTATGAAACATCTCAAATTAATTTTTGGATTTGGAGTGGGTTCAAGGTAAAGGTTCATTTTTTTAAATTCACGTATTTGTTCCAGTATCATTATTTAATAAGATATTTTACCATTGAATGGACTTGGTACCTTTGTCCAAAATTGGTATAGATTGATTTTTGGACTATTTTGTCCCGGTGCTCTATTTTTCTATTTTTACACCAATATTATAGTATTTTTCCTTATTGTAGATTACGTCTTGACATCATGTAGTATTAACTATCCAATTTTTTTGGAAAATTGTTTGAGTTTTTAGATCCAATGTGTTTCTTTATTAATTTTAGCATTGCTTAGAAATTTAATCAACAAAAATCTGCTAAGATTAATTAATATTGTATTGAAGGTATAAGTAAACTTGAGGAGGATGGGCTTTTCAAAATATCAAGTTTTCCAGTCCTTGAACTTGGCATATTTACTTATTCGGGTGTTTCAAAAAATTTTTGGCAATATCTTGTTGTTTACACTGCAAAAATCTTGCAAAATTTTGTTTATTCCAAGATTTTGATGGGTTTTTGATGCCATTATAAATGGAACTTTAATGAATTGCTGTTCCCATTGCTTGTGGCTAGCATATGAACTACGATTAATACATGAATATTAATCCTTTATCATGTGAACTTGCCTAAATTCACTAATAGTGAATTATTTTTCTTTTTCTTTTCTTTCCTTTTTATAGAGACAAGGTCTTGATATGTTGCCAAAGCTGACATTCCTTGGCTATTCACAGGTGCAATCAGAGCACAGTGCAGCCTAGAACTCCTGGGCTCAAGTGATCCTCCAGCCTCAGCCTCCCAAGTAGCTGGGACTACAGGAGTGTGCCACCACACCCGGCTTTAAAAACTTTGAGAATTACATAGAATTTTTATGTACACAGACAAGTCATTTATATATAATACAGCACTTTACATTTTCCTTTCCAGTCATCCTGCTAATTTCTTTTATTCCTTATTGCATCAGCTAGGATTTTCAATGCAATAGTGAACATAAGTTGTGAGAGCAAATATTTTTGTTTTTTCTTTTTATATTGGGGAAAAAGCATTCAAAGTTTCATAATTAATAAAGATGTTAGCTATAGACTCTTTGTAGATGCCTTCTATTACTAGTATGCAGATAGATTTCAATATAAACTAGTGTTTAGTTTTGTCAAATGTTTCTACAGTATCTACTTAGATGTATATACATACATTTCCTTCCCTCCCTCCCTCCCTTCCTCCCTTCCTTCCTTCTTTTTTCCTTTCTCTCTTTCTCTTTTCTGTCTCTGTCTCTACTTTCTCTCTTTCTTTCATTCATTCTAATATGGTGAATAACATTGCCTGACTTCTGAGTGTAAATCAACCTTAACTTCTTTGAATTACCCCTGTGGGATCATGATATATTAGCTTTTTACACAATGCTATCATTTTGTTTAATACTTTTCCTTTTATGTCAATGAAAGATACTGGTCTGAAGTTTTGTTTTTCTTGAAATTTTTTTTGTAATATTTGGTATTAGGTTTTTGTGGCCTTATAAATGAGATTAGGATGTGGTATCTCCTTTTCTGTTTTTGAAAAGAATTCCTGAAGATTTGTATTGTTTCTTCTTCAAATGTTTACTAGAATTTACTAGCGAAGCCATTTTGATCTGGAGCTTTACTTGTGTGAAAGTTTTTATTATGAATGGAGATTTTTAGTTTTCTAAATGTCTCTTTCTACCAGTTTTAGTTTTTAAAGGAATATTTTCATTTCATTTAAGTTGCCAGATATATTGGCATAAATTGTTCATAATGGGACCTTACTATTCTTGCAATGTGTGTAGGCTCTTCATAATGTCTCTACTTTTATTTTCTAACAGTTACTATCTCTTCTCGCTTGTTTTTCTTGATTAGTCTTGCTAACGGTCAATTAATCATATTAATTTTTACAAAAAATCAACTCCAAAAATTATTTTTCTTTCTTCTTTGCCCATTTTCTGTTTCATTAATTTCTGCTATTATTTCCACTATTTCTTCCTTCTACTAACTTTGGGAAAATTTTGATCTTTTTTACCTATTACTTAAAATGGAAGCATACCTCAATAATATCATCCCTTTCTTCTTCTTTTTTTATTTTTTATTTTTTATTAGCAACTATGCCTGGCTAATTTTTTTTTTTTTTTTTGTATTTTAGTAGACGTGGGGTTTTGCCACATTTCCCATGCTGGTCTCAAACTCCTGAGCTCAGACAATCCGCCTGCCTCAGCCTCCCAAAGTACTAAGATTACAAGCGTGAACCACTGTGCCTGGCCCCTTTCTTCTATTGTAAGATAGGTATTTCAAGTGACAAAATTGCACAAAATTTGATATGTTTTGATTATCATTCAGTTACACATATTTAAGACATCCCTGTTATTGCTGCTTTGACTGAGGATTATTTAGAAGTATATTGTTTCATTTAAAATATTTAGGGATTTTTAACGCTTACTTTTATTTATTGTAACTTAACAGTTTTGTGTTTATAGAATATTCTCTTTATGATTTTTATGCTTTGAAACTTACTGAGAAATAGTTCATGACCCAAAACATATTCTGTATCAATGAGGGTTCCATGTACATTTAAAAAGTATGTGTTCTGTAGTTGTTGGATGTTCTATGAATATCAATTAGGTCCAATTGGTTAATAATTTTGTTCGAATCTTCTATATCATTGCTGATTATGTGAATATCTGTCTACTAAAGGAAGGATGTTAATATCTCTGACTATGATATTAGATTTATCCATTTCTCCCTTTAATTCTGTCCATCTTGGCTTCATGATTTTTATTTTTTTATTTTTTATTTTTATGGCTACATAATGGTTGTACATACTTATGGAGTACATGTGATATTTTGATACAACATACAATGTTTAATTATCAAATCAAGGTAATTAGGATATTGATCACCTGAAATGTTTATCATTTCTTTGTGTTATGAACACTTCATATCCACTTCTCTAGTTATTTTGAAATATACAATGAACTATTGTGAACTATAGTCACCCTATTGTGCTACTGAACCTTATATCTTATTTCTGCCATCTAACTGTATTTTGTATCCAATAACCAACCTTTCTTTATCCCCTGCTCATCACTACCCTTCCCAGCCTGTGATAACCAAAATTCTACTCTCTACCTCCATGAGAGCAAATGTTTTAGCTCCCACAAATTAAAGAAAACATGTGTATGTTTTTGAAGCCTTTGTCAAAAATTATTGATGAAAGCAGTTGAAGGCGACACAAAAATGGGAAGATATCTCATGTTCATGGATTCAAAGGATCAATATTGTTAAAGTGTCCACACTACCCAAAGCGATCTACAGATTTAATGCAATCCCTATCAAAATACCAATGACATTCTTCCAGAAATAGAAAAAAATCCTAAAATTTAAATGAAACCACCAAAAATACAGAATAGCCAAAGCAATTCTAAGCAAAAAGAACAAAGTTGGAGGAATCATATTACCTGTCTTCAAATTATACTACAGAGCTGTAGTAACCAAAATAGGATGGTGCTGGCATGAAAGCAGACCCATAGACTGATGGAACAAAATAGAGAACCCAGAAATAAATCCACACATTTACAGTGATTTTGGCTTCACATATTTTGAAACACTACTAGGTACATTTATATTCAGTATTATGTGTTCTTAACTGAGTCTCCTTTCATCCTTCCTTGCCCTTTTTATATGAAGTGAGTATTTTCTAAATATTCCATTGTAATCCTACATTGATTTTTAAACTACATTTTTGTTCTAACAATTAAAATATGCATTTTAATTTATTCTAGTATATTTTCAAATAACATTTTACTTCTCACATATAACATCAGAATCTACTTATAACTGTGTAATTCCATTTACACACCTGCAGGCTCTTTGTGTTCCTCTGTCTTGAATTTTAACTACAAATGCTATCAATCTCACCATACATTATTGCTGTGATTTTTATCTCAACAGTCAAATTAAAAAAAAATTTAATTCATTATAATTTCACACTACATATGAAATTATAATGCTCTCTCTCTTCTTCTTTATTTCCTCCAATTATAGGTATGTTGAACCATATGAAATTGTTCTACAGATCTCAGACACTATTCATTTTGTTCACATATTCATCTTTTTTGACTCTATAATAAAGATAATATCAATTATCTACATTTTTTAATTGATAAGATAATATCAAATTTGTTTACATATATATTTAACTTTTCTGATGCTCTCCATTCATTCTTGTCAATCTAGCTCCATTTTTCTGTAGTTTCTCTTTAGCGCAATGGGTTTCTCTAGTATATCTTATAGGGTGGGTCTTCTGAAATCAAATTCTTTCACGTTTTACCTATTAAAGATGTCTTTATTTCCCCTTTACTTTTGAAGGATATTTTTACAAGATATAGAATTATAAGTTGGCAAGTTATTTTTTTCCTTTGAGCACTTTAAAGATGTAATTCTATTGCTCTCTCTCATCTATCTGACTTAATGAAAAGTTAGCTATAATTGTGTTCCCCTTTATGTGATATGGCGTGTTTTTTTTTTTCCTGATAACTCATCAATTGTGTCTCATCAATTTTGGAAAATTCTTACCTATAAATCTTTAAAAAATTATCTTTTGTCCTATTTAGTCTCTCTTTTCTTCTTTATTCCCTCCATTTATAGGTGTGCTAAACCATATGAAATTGTTCCACAGATCTCGACACTGTGTATTTCGTTCACATATTCATCTTTTTTGTGTTTCAGTTTTGATAATCTCTTCTGACCTATTTTCAAGCTAACTGCTTATTTTCTTTGATATTTCCAGTATGCTATCAAGCTTATCAAATGACTTCTTCATTTTTGATATGTCTTATTCCTGGCATTTTCATTCAACTTTTTAAAAAATAATTTTTATCTCTGCTGAAATTCCCGTTCTGTTCAGACATGTTGCCCATCTTCAATACCACATTCTATCATAGTTATTTGAAATTCTCTCTCTTATACTTCCAATATCTTGGTGTTTTCTTGATTTTTTTAGGGTTTCTCTCTTGACCATGAATTACATTTTCTTATTTTTTATTTGTCTTACAATTTTTATTGTATGAGGCATTATGCTTAAAAGAATAATAAAGGCTATAGTAAATAATATTTACCTCAGAGAAGGACATTCTTATTCTGTTAGCCGTTTAGTGTAGGAGCTGAGTTATCCCAATTTGTAATTGAGCTAGGTCTAATATAAACCAAAATTGTTGTAGCATTAAGTTTTAACTCACCACGCTCTTAAAATACTTTGAGGACGTGATAAGGATTTTCCTTTCAACTAATTTTGAGATCTGAGCACAGGCAAAGCTCTGGAGAGCTCTTTATCCTTGACAATACAGAGAAAAAGCTCTCTGAACTGTGTGTGATACGAGGCCTAAAATTAAGACACAGAATTATGTGCCGTCTTGACATCTGAAACCAGAGGGCGTCGAGGGCCTTAACCCAAAAGTTTCCTTCCCCACTCTGCTCTTGTGGATAAGGTCCCCAGCCCAGTATCCACTGCCTTATCAAAGGGACCAGGCATAGTTCCTGCTTATCCCTGAGTAGTAGGTTTCAGTTCCCTGCCAGCCCACAGAATTATTCGAACAAGCCAGTCACATCCGCCTGTGGGAGCCAGGGGACACCTCATACTCTTGATATTACAAAGTCCGCCTTCTAGCATTGTTGATTGTTCACTGTATTCCCGAGTGCAGCCCTGGTGTGGCCCTGCGTGATGTGCTGTGCCCTCTTCCCCAGGGCTTTAGTTTATGTATAAACTGCTTCCAATCTCATCAATTCAACACTAGACATCATGTGTTCACCCATTCTTATAACCTTAGGGTGGGAATTCCTCCCTCACCAATGGGGTGAAGAGAGGATGATTAAAACACTACTTTACAATGAAAAATCTTCTTCTACTTGCAACGAAAAATCATTTTTAAAACAATCTCTAGTACATTCTCATTTCTTTCCAGACCCACCCCTGCATTTCTATACCTTGGAAGACATCTTTCCAACCTCTTGCCTTATCTCTAGCCTTTGGAGGACCTTTCCTCCAAAGTCACTCAGTGAAGACCTGCCATGCCTTGAAGCTACTGATTTTCATTCTTTTCTTTTCACTCAGCTTTTGGAGAGCCATGGCAGTGTACTCAGGCGAGGCTTCTTGATGAAGAAATTTCTGGCTCCTCTGTTGGCCTTCTCTGAGACTACCCCAACAGAAGAATGAGGGTTGGGACACCTTGTTATAACCTCATGAGGTGGAAGTTTAATTCTCCCTTCAGGCTTTGCTGGCAAGGGTGGGTTCTTTTGTCTTTTATTTTGCTTTTTTTTTTTTTTTTCCCCTGTGCTCTATGGTGGGAGTAGAGTGGTTATTTTCTAAAAACTTTCTCTTCTTTCCAGGCTGACAATTCTCTAGTCCTTGGCCTAAAGAGAGCTTTTATTGGGGCTTTTATTGTTTCTGCCCATTGGCGTTCCTAGTTTGCCAAATTCTCCAGTACCCAGAAATGAGGCAAAAGTAAACTTGGGAACTCAGTGCTTCATTGTTCCTTGGGTCACCTAGCCATTCTGCCTTCTTTTCTCCACTCTTCAGAGTCTTATTCTATTTTTTCTATATATAATGTCCATATTTTCAGATGTACTTAGCAGAAGGAATAGGGAGATATGTCTATTCCATATTTCCAGAAGTGGAAGTCACTAATGATAATCACTTGATAACCAGATACAGCTTTCCATTAAGAAAATGAAAATATGGTTATTTCTAAAATGATCAAAAGAAATGCGTTTTGAACTCTTTCACTTCAAGGGTACTGTTCTGCGTAAATGGGAAATATAAAATCAGCAATGACATGGTTTTGTGAACTATTCTTACATTCATTTTCTCATGAGGGGCATTTGGTCATCTTTATCAGTATGTTCCTTATGATCTTATAAAGTTAAAATTTTAATATTAGGACAAATATGTTGTTTTTTTTTCCTGATAAACTAATATGTTTCTCTCACTTAATATTAAGAATTATATAATTCATTAATTGTCCATCTTCCCTTTCCTGCCAGCCCACTCAAACCTAAATTTTCTTACTTCCAATTTATTTGCTTATCTTAAATTTTTCTAGCATCACTACTGCTTCATTATCTTTTATTCTACAACTCCCAGTCTTTGGTTTATTATTCTAATGTGGCTGTGACGGCTTCAAAATAAACCTTCTCATATTTATTTTGAGAATAGATAATATAGAAACAATGGGCTTTCTGAATTTTCTTTAGGAGTAACTTACAGGAGGCAATCTGACTGAATGGGTATTTCAGAAGACTTTTGAAGGTGTGTTCCCGGAACAAGTTCATTATATTTATTTAGATTACTTTTTTTTTCTTTTGTGTGGCTATAATAATGTGAAATAGAGCCCTCTTCAACCCATTTGTTATCACTATACATAGGAGTATGGTCATAGCTTCATCTATTCGTTCACTGATTCAACAAATATTTACCGAATACCTATTGAATCAGGATTGGGCATAAATATCTGTTCTAACAATTACTAATGTGTTACCCTAGGAAGTTATTTAACTTCTTTAAGTTTAACTTCCCATGAGTATAACAAGAATAGAATACTTACCTAACATGTTTGTAAGAATTAAATAATATGCCAAATTTAACTTACCTAGCACATCGACTCATCAAAATCATGCAGAAATCAGTTTCTCTTCTTCTCCAGCCCTTTTGCTGTATGTTGATAACCCCCTTTGTCCACATGTAAATTTGACAGGTTTTCAATATTTTTCAAACACCATTAAATTGAAAAAGCTCTAAAATTTGTTTTCTTCTATTATTTTTTGACAGATATGTCTTATGGAGGAAGGTAATAATGAAATCATATTTTGGATGTTTTAAACTATTTTAAGAAAATAGGAATTTCTCATGTGAAAAATGAAGAAAACAGCTGCTGAAAAATCCTATTAATCTGGTGGAAGTTAGCCCATACCCCCAACATTTTACAAAGAATAAGTCTTGCAGCTATAAAAATGCTTTGAATAGTACACAGCACCATCTACAGTGAACTCCTCAATCTAAGATTCTCTTTTAACTCACATTTATATTTTCTTTTAACTTAATAATCTTTTTTTGTTTTTTTTTCTTGTGGTTAGAAAATTAATTCATATGCATTATAAGGTGGAAAAGAACCAAACCCATTATCTCATCACCTACAGACAACCCATGTTGCAGTATATAGTGAATCCTATGTTTATGATACAATGAAAAATGACATAAAAATCTCCTGATAACTCATAATATAATAAATTTCATGATTTTTATCTTATAAAATATTCATGGTGAACAAATGGCAAGATGGTAAAACATAATTTAATATGAACAACCAAGTGGGAAATGGGAGGTATAGCAAAATGACAGGGTCCAGTTATACAAAACTGATGATATAGTTTAATCCAACAATAGTATTTTAGTATCTAGTATCTAGTATAATAGTATCTAGAAGAATGAGTAAACTGAGTACTCTTCAGCCAGTCATCTCAGCAATATTATTTTTCTTAATTGTTATTTAATGAGTATTAATTAGTCTCAGAAAGAAGAATTTGAGACAAGGTCTCTGACAATTTCTGGAGTATTTTATACCTCTAATTAAGGGCTGATCCATATACCCAAAATCACTAAAT
Source organism: Homo sapiens (assembly GCF_000001405.40). Lineage (NCBI taxonomy): Eukaryota > Metazoa > Chordata > Mammalia > Primates > Hominidae > Homo > Homo sapiens. The sequence goes on from NC_000004.12 coordinate 89,892,582, forward strand.
GAGCTTGAGATTCTCTGGGGAGTTAAAGTGCAAGATGGCTTAGTAGATCAATAGTGAGATACAGAACCTTTAGCCTTTTGATTTCAGGGTCCCTTGTAAGCTAGGATAGGGGTGAGCAAAAGTCATTATTGGTCAATACCTTATAAGTGGTTAAATGAATTGCTTAGCTTTGTTCAGTTTTTATTATCATTGGATAACTATTTGTTATCAGTTATAGATCCAATGGGTGACATTTTACCACTAAAGTTCACTTGCCAGACCAGGTTTGAACAGTCTTTCAAACTGTAGAAGAAAACAAAAAATCAGTGAATGTCATTATTTTGGCAGTTTTGTAAATCTTCAAGACAGTCCATTCATCTATTTTTACTAAAGCTAGGAAAATTGGTGTAAAATTGAATATAAATAGGAACATTTTTCCTAAATTTTATGAAATTACTGCTCTTCCATAAGCCAAAGCTAGTTTCTTCTGTGTTTTCCAGATAAAGACACTGTAAAGCCTTTTTCTTTCTACTGAAAACCATGTTTGTATTGTGACAGTTGTGCAGTTTCATTGCTCTTTTGCTCTTTTTAGTAACTAATCGTTTCCTGGATTGTCTCTGCTGGACCTTTTTGCTCCTTTACTAAGGCAAGGTTTGTGGATTGTTCTGTGGTATATCTGAGAAACGGATGCTTTTTACTCCATATCAGAGTCGATTGGGGTTGCTGATGATTGTCTTAGTTTAAATAAATACTCTCTAGTAGGTCAACAATACACTTACGGAAATAAATGGCAAAGATTGAGGGAAGAAAAAAATATTAATCCCAAGTAGTTAGTAGCTCAAGGAAGAATTAGGCCTTATTTCAAATCCTGGTGCACTGTGTCCAGGAATAAGGACTAGAGAAAATATCTACAATAAAACATAACCAAGCAGGCATTAGATTTCCAATTCTCTAATTTTGAAAGACGGAACTTAATAATCTAATAACAAAAAATAAAATCTAATAATAGTTTAACAATCAATGACTGAATATTTAGCAAGAGCATAATGCCTGGCACAGAAGTTGACAGAAAAATGGGTTACACATGGATTTAGCTTCCAAATAACATAACAGACATTTAGCAAATTGACAGCAAAGAATATTTTTGTTTTCCTTATAATCCTAGCACATAAGAGAGTGCTTTGCACAGAATGAGGGGTTATGTAACTACTGAATTCATGAATACATAAATAAATGAATGAGTGAATGAATGAATGAACTATTATAACTTAGTTTGTATATCTATTTAAACAGACTGATATGAAATTTTATAGATAAGAGGTTAATTGAAATCTGAGGATCAGAGATTTGCTGGAGAAATTAAATGATAAATCTCATGAAACATCTCTACCAGAAAAAAACCCATAGAAAACTCAGATAAATCTGGTTCTCTGCTACCTACAACTGGCATAATTTTGTCCTACAGTAAATGTATAAAAGCATTCTATATGATCCCATTTTAATTTATTTTTATGTGACTCCATTTTTTCTTCATCTATCCCTTACTAGTAAAATATTGGTTACCCCCAACCATCAGACAATCGTGATTGGAAAATAAAGGAAGTAAAATTCTGATTATTTATTCCATTAGTGGGTATCTCTGGTAGAAGTTCCAGGAGCAAAATTTAAAGTGACTTCCTGGTATACCTGTCTAATTCAATTACTTATGCTTTCCTTTTCTGTTATTACTTATAATCATTGAGATTAAGTAATGATACAGCTGAAGTGTATTTATAAAAATAGAAAGATATACATGTATGTAGATAGATGTTTTATAATTCAGAGTATATGTACTATATGAAAGGATAGAGACACTGTAAACAAGCTTTTGATTATGTGTATGCATGTGGATATACACTTGAACAAAATGCAGCTTTCTGGATAGAGCACAGCAGATAAGTATCATAAAAACTTTTCTCAGTGTCTTTATGTAGTAGAACAAAATGTTAAAACTGTATTCAGCCTATATCAACAAAATTTTGCACTCTCTATCGTGAACCTGAAATTTCTCTTTGAAATCAGTGAAACGTGAAACCAGGGTGTGCTCAGGAAAAGAAAGTTACTTCATATTTTTTCATGGGTTTTCCTGATAATAATTGCCTGTGCTTTCCCATTTACCCTTAGCTTTGTCAGAGACCCTTCAGCACTTCCATAGAGCCATCCCACTAGAGGTCACAGATCACAAAAACCCTACAGAAACAGGAAACCGAACTTCCTGAGTACGCTACAAAACACAGAAACCTGTTTCCTCTACACATCTCAAACTGGCAAAACTCAGTCTTAGCAGATTCAGTGTGGAAGCAGCTATCAAAAAGGCCATAAGGATTTTGTCCCCAAATTTCACATGAGCTACCTTGCTTCAAACTACTGAGATGAAGGGGGCAAGATTATTTGTCCTTCTTTCTAGTTTATGGAGTGGGGGCATTGGGCTTAACAACAGTAAGCATTCTTGGACTATACCTGAGGATGGGAACTCTCAGAAGACTATGCCTTCTGCTTCAGTTCCTCCAAATAAAATACAAAGTTTGCAAATACTGCCAACCACTCGGGTCATGTCGGCGGAGATAGCTACAACTCCAGAGGCAAGAACTTCTGAAGACAGTCTTCTTAAATCAACACTGCCTCCCTCAGAAACAAGTGCACCTGCTGAGGGTGTGAGAAATCAAACTCTCACATCCACAGAGAAAGCAGAAGGAGTGGTCAAGTTACAGAATCTTACCCTCCCAACCAACGCTAGCATCAAGTTCAATCCTGGAGCAGAATCAGTGGTCCTTTCCAATTCTACACTGAAATTTCTTCAGAGCTTTGCCAGAAAGTCAAATGAACAAGCAACTTCTCTAAACACAGTTGGAGGCACTGGAGGCATTGGAGGCGTTGGAGGCACTGGAGGCGTGGGAAATCGAGCCCCACGGGAAACATACCTCAGCCGGGGTGACAGCAGTTCCAGCCAAAGAACTGACTACCAAAAATCAAATTTCGAAACAACTAGAGGAAAGTAAGAAATCTTCTTTTCTTTTTGTTCTTTCTCTGTCTATCAGGTCTAGAAGATTGCAAGTGAAATTTACCTCACTCCCAGAAAATTATTTCAAATTCAAGATGAAATTGGATCATATTTATAATTTCACCATTTCAGTTAGATAAAGTTATTGTTAATTTATCTAATAGGGAAAAATGAAGAAATAAAATGCAGCAATTTTGTTTTAACTGAAATAATCATTCACTTTTCTACTCACTTATAGAGGTAGTTTTACTTAGAATAGTCATTGCCAAGCAAACTAGCACCACGGTGGCTGTTAGTTTAATTCAAGGATATGTTGATTGTGTTCCCAACCATATTCACAATATGAAAGACAAAAATAAACAAATAAATAAAATTGGGGCTTGAACAGATGTGAAAATTGGAATAGCAGTATTATAAAAAGTAACAGTTGTCAAAGATCGAAACAAGCACACCAGGGGTGCAATCCTGGCTTCAGTATGGTCTAGTTCCATGATTTTGAGCAACTCAGTTGATGTCTGTGAACCTCAGTTTCTTCATATGGAAACTACAGATTTAATACAAGGAATGTCAATAAAAATAAAACTTTGCAGGGTTCTCGTTCAGATAAAAATGAATGAAAAGTGCTTAGATGCATGCTCCTCACAGAATAGGTGCTCAACAACTCAAATTTTGCTAGTACCATGATTATTTTGAGTTGTGTTGCCATCATGAATATGATGAATCAGAAAACTTATTTTTCAAATTAATTTTAATTTAAAGTTAGAGCAATTTGAGTGGTTGAAATAAAATAAAACAAATTTAAAGGAGTGTTGTTAAAGAGGGTTTTCAAAAGAAGTGATAGTCAAATCAAAATAAACAAAGAAAAAATATCTGGGTGGGTCAATATTTTATTCATTTAATGCTCAGAGTCATCTGTATGTTTGGAATACTAGAAGTTTAGTATTGCAAAACTAAACTTACAAATAGTTTTTACATGTAATAATACAAAGTCAAGACACCAGACATGTCTTGGGAGCAAAATGGGGTTAAATATCTTACTAATAATAAAATAAAATCCAAGTTAAAAATAGAAGTTGACACACCTGCTATGTGAAAGACATTTAGTTAAAGCTGTTGCTGATATAAAGGTGAGAAGAAGAGAGACACTGGTAAGAATTCTAGCCAATGAATTTACTTATTTCTGTATTATTTATTATTCAAGTCTATTTTTCACTATATTTCAAAAGTTATAGAATTTTTCGAAATATATAAGTAAATCTGATTGTAACTAAAAAAGTATTCACTTGGTGGACTTTGGAACAATCCCAGCTTACTGTAAAACAAATAGTACAGATTACAATATGTTCACTTTGGGACAAGTAGATTTGCCATTAAAAAAACATTTAACAGACATGCATTAATCTTTCTCACTTTGGGGGACAACAGGATTTTATCTATTAAATAATCAGAAATGTCATTTATTGACAGCTTTTTCTAAATCACTTGAATGCATCATTTCTGTTAATCATATTTTATTAGAGGCTGTAATTAAATTTTTAAAAACTAATTACAGTAAAACCCTTGGACATTCATGGGAAACGATTGTGAGCTTTTCAGAGATGCTATAGCTAAGAATTTTTTTTTTTTTGAGACGGAGTCTCGCTCTCTTGCCAGGCTGGAGTGCAGTGGCACAATCTCGGCTCACTGCAATCTTCGACTCCCAGGTTCAAGCGATTCTCTTGCCTCAGCCTTCTGAGTAGCTGGGACTACAGGTGGTGTGCCATCACACCCAGCTAATTTTTGTATTTTTAGTAGAGATGGGGTTTCACCATGTTGGCCAGGGTGGTCTTGATCTCTTGACCTCATGATCCACCCACCTCAGCCTCCCAAAGTGCTGGGATTACAGGCGTGAGCCACCGCACCCAGCCAGAATTTTTTAATAGAAAGGGAAATATAATAAACAGAAAAAAGAGACAATTCAAGTTAAAATAGCATTTAAATTTTACATACCATATAGAAAGTGGCATACAGTTGTGTCATAATTAGAACTAGTAACTAATAGTTTGATAAATACTAGTTTTTAAATAAATGCTAGTTGTGTTATCCAAGGTCCTTGCTTTCAAATGTTGGGAACAATTTGATGAATATTTATAATTTGCCCATCATGTGCTAGCACTGTGCTAGGCTTTGGGTTACACAGAATTTAAAAAAATAATAATAATTCCTCTGTCTAAGGAATATTCCCTATAAAAAGTAAACACTAACATACCTATCAGACTTCAAAAAATGTTAATATGTGCTATGAGAAAACAAGATACTAAAGGTATAACTTGCTGAACAGAACTTTATCCTCTGGATTTTCTAACAAAAATAATCTTAAACTCCTTCTATAGAAAAGTACTAACTGCATGTAGGGATTCTCTTATTTGAGGTCCTGGAGAGCCTGAGGTTTTCTTTTAGTAATCCTTTCCATTACCAAGATTCCTTACTCATTAGGCCATGCAAATGACAATGGCATTAGAGAAAAGCCTAGGTCCTTCACTTTTGGACACAGTGCTGCTGCAAACCCTTGATATGGTCAAAAGAAGTCCTTCGTACTTTCATTTGATTGGCAAATAATAATAATAATAGTAGCAAACACTTATATGGCATCTGTTACTAGTACTCTACTATTGTCAGTGAATATATTCACTCATTTAATCATTACTATAACTCCATAAAGAAGAGGAAGATTTTTATCATTATTTCTTTACAGAGGGATTAAGTAGCTTACCTAAGGTCACTTGGCTAACAAAGCTCAGGGCAAAGACTCAAATCCAAGCTGGCTGGCTTTAGAGTTGTAGCTCTCAGCTCCTACATTACACTCCCTTGGCAGGTACAGTCTCTTATCACAAGTGGGAAGATAAGCGTGACCAGTTCACTTCCCAGCTCGTGAGGCTTCACAGGCTATTGGTTGCCTCCAGAATACAATCTAGATTTGTTACCCAGTTAGTCACACGATGCCATCCTAGATCTGCCTCCTGCCTACCTCCCCAACCTCATCTTCCGCCACTTCCGGCTATTCAAATAAGTGGTTCTCTGGTACAATATGTGCTGTTTGTTAAACCCACCTTTCTTCCCTGTCTGCCCCTGTGACTAACAATGGGCCCTCTTTTGCCATCGTTCTCTCTTTTCACACCTAATAATAACTCCAGGAAGCCTTCTCAGGTGAAGTTAGGTGGCCTTTCTAATCGCTCCTACAGGTCTCTTTGAATTCCCCTGTTCACTGCACTTACGACACTACATAATAATCATAATGAATTTGTAGTATCTTTGCATATAGGGACTTATTTTCAGAGCTAGCAAAGTCTCTGGTTTATAGCAGGTACACAATCAATATTTAATCATACTGAATGTGAAATATGAGGATTAATATGTGAATATAAAGAAGAAAGCTTCCCAAATATTTGCATTTGTTTATGAAAAAAACCTGGTTGATTTAGAATAAACTCATATTTGTTCTTTTTTCTACCATTCTTGGAATTTTATAATAATTCTTAGTAAAAGGCGTATTTATGTTTATTACAGGTTCTTTTCTAGATTATTCAGGATTATTCTGGCATATTTTTGTTTCATCTTGTAGTTTTTCTTCTTTTTTTTTTTAGCCTTGCAGGAACTCCTGGCCAAAATAGACCTATGGTTTCCTGTCTGGCAGAGTGGGTGTTAGTCAATGACCAAGCACTTTGAAATAGGAAGGATGGAAATAAGAAATTAGGATTAGTGTATTTATATGTTGAACAAATATTTGCTGAACACCTTATCTGTCCCAAGCACTGTGCTTGTGCTGGGAGTAAAACAATGAACAAGAACTCCTACATGTCCTGCCTTATGGAACCAACAGCCCAGTGGCAGAGGTGAGAGGAGGAATAACAGTGAATCACAAATGCTGATTCTGAATGAAGCTTAAGAAATTGTAGTGTATAATGGGGGGAATGGCCTACCAATTGTGAATGGGGTCAGTAAACCTTGCCTGAGAGGATAATAGGTGAAATGAGGTAATGATACAATCTAACTGCCTACTTAGCTTTTCCCACAATTCCCAACCCCTGTACACATGTATCTTAATTTTTACCAAATCAGTGAATGGCTAGTTCCATAACTAGAAACCTTGGATAGATCTTTGGCATTTTTCTCTCCCTTCTGGTTTTTATCTAATCTATCAAAAAGTCTTGTTACACCTCTAATACATCCCAAATACCTCAACTTCTCTCCATCTTCTACTTGCCGTTATTCACCACTAGTGTTCTAATTGGTCCACTTCTTTCCACTCTTGTCTACCATAATCCATGATCCACAAAAGGGAGGGATCTTTTGAACATTTAAGTCAGATTAATGCATTTCACTGGATTAAGTCTTCATTATTGTAAGTGACACATTATTTTAGGTACTAATCAGAAGGAAAAGTATGACATCATACTTGCTTAATTTGAATTTTTAGATTTGTCTTTCAGACTTTGAGATTTTGGTCACATATCACTTTTGCAAACTTAAGAAGGAAATGTAAATGAAACTGGTAAAGTATTTCGAAGGCAATGGCAACAACTGCTATCTGACCACTAGTGACTGAAAAATGCCTTTGATTTCAAGACACATTCTTGATTTCAGAGATGTATGTCTTAAAATGTGTGAAATTTGGTCTTTCATTCATTGTCACACTCCAAGATCACTGCACTTCATTTCCTCCAGCCACACTGGCTTCCTTTCTGTTTATTGAACATGTCAAGTTAATATCTCAAAGGAAACTTTTTTTGCTCTTGCTGGAATGCTCTTTCTGCACCTTTTATAATGAAGGACTCCTCTTCCACTTGCACCTCCAGCTTTAATGTCACCTCTTCAAAGGGACCTTCTCTTACCACCCAATGTAAAGTTAACTATGCTCTCACTTGCCATTCCTTATTTTGTCACCTTTATTTTTTTCTTTGTAGGAATTATTTGAAATTATTCTACTTATATAGACAATGGTGTATTTTATGTCTTTCCGCAATACATCCCATGAAAACAGGGACCTTGCCTGTCTTATTACTACTCTATTTGCTGCCTAGAACAGTGCCAGGTGCATAGAAAGAGCTCAATAAAACTCTGTAAAATCATGGATTATTAGATGGGTTTGGCATCCAGAGGGGAGATCAAGGCTAGAGATATAAATTTGGCAAAGCATTGGTATATAGAAATGTATTAAGTCATGAATGTGGATGATACTGAAAGAAAGAAGGACCTTGAATTATGAACGGAGAATCTCTAATATTTGATGAACTGATAGTGGTGGATGCCAACAATACAGTCTTAAATGGGGTGACCAGAGAAGTTAGGAAGGAATCTATAAAAGTGTGGTGTCATAGAGCAAAGGAAGAAAATATTTTAAGAAGGAGGTAAGTGATCAACAGTGTGAAATGCTGCTGAAAAAGACAAAATGAGGACTGAAAAATAGCCACTATTTCAGTTTAGTGAGCACCATGCTCTGGCCTGAGAGAATTGAGGTATGAAGGAAGGCAAAAGAGAGCCATTAAAGCCAACTCAATTAAGGAGGGCTTTTATGAAAAAAAAAAAAAAAAAAGGAGAAAGTGGTCAGAAGCCAAGGCTAGTCCAGTTATTTATGTTTTGTGTTTGTTTCTTATAATATTTCATTTTAAATACAGAGGGCTCATACATATGTTAACATGTTAATGAGAAGGGTCAGAGGAAGGTAAAATTTGAATATGCAGAAAAAGAGGGATTTTTTTTCTGAGTTTAATGACAAATTAGAAAATTAGAAATTATTATTTCTGAGTTTAATGACAAATTAGAAAATTATTCTGAGTTTAATGACAAATTAGAAAATTACAAAAATTAACCATTAAATTCTGCTGTCATACTTTTTTTCTGCTCATTTTGTGTGAATTATGAATAGGTTTTAGAAGTGAATTATCTGATCAGCTAAATTCTTGTGTTGTTTTCAAAGTTATTATTAGGCCTAATAACATCCAAAATGGGTTATTCTTACATGCTGTTAAATTCTAAAGAGAAACCATTATACTAAAGGGTATTTTCTTATATCTTTGTGAAATAGATGTCTCTATTACATTACTGCCAGTGAAATAAACACTACATAAAGTATATTCTCTATCAACTTTTACCCATTAATCACATTCTTTATTTCATTACTTTGCTGTTTCTACTCTGTTACTATAAATATATATTGCATTTCATATGCTAGAATTTAATGAGTGCTTATATATTCCTAATAATTAAGTGGGAACTTTTTGTATTCGCACAACTTCTGCTTTTCTGAATATAAAACTATAATTTTAAATTTATTATTTGGGGGTAAATGCTAAGAGAGTCAGTTTACAGGAACTGGATTAAGCATAGAATTCTGCATCACGGCATCCGTTAGCCTGCCTTTGTGGTCTGCACGCTGGGAAAGCCTGACACCTACTGGAATAGAAACAGTTTACAACGCCCGGAATATGCTCAAGTCACAGTTTTGCAAGGAAGGGGGAAACAAAAAATAAAATTAGGTAAAAAAGAGTATGTTCAATTCCCACAGGAAGGGGAATATCACACTCTGGGGACTGTGGTGGGGTAGGGGGAGGGGGGAGGGATAGCATTGGGAGATATATCTAATGCTAGATGACAAGTTAGTGGGTGCAGCGCACCAGCATGGCACATGTATACATATGTAACTAACCTGCACAATGTGCACATGTACCCTAAAACTTAAAGTATAATAAAAAAAATAAATAAATAAGTTATAGAAGAGAAAAAAAACAAATTTATGGAAAAGGTTATATTAAAGGTTGACTTTAAGAATCATTACTTATAAAATATATATGTTATACATATTTAATTCGATGTACCACTTTAAAAATATACTACTTTTCACTTTAAAATTGGAAAATAGGTTGGATCCAAACAGCAAACTCTATGTACATCCTGTGATGGCCATACATTCGGCTCGTTCTCATAAAACTTTACACTGACAATATTGTGTATAGACAGTAATTTGTGGCTGTGAGGCACTCTACAGTCATCTATCATTGAAAACTCAATTACATTCACCACACTGTTCCCACTACAGAAAGCAAATAAAATTATGCCTGACAAAAATATTTTAATTGCAAAAGTTGGTACATAAAAAAGGGTTTCTTCTTAAAGTCTAAATTAACCATAAATCAAAGTATCTAAAATTCCCCATAATCTGAGCTTTGCATAATTGCTTTTCAAAAAATTATTTTAAATATCAATTTATTTATATGATTCTTTTACAAAACTGATATTTTTATCTCAGTTTGAATACTATATAAAATTTTGTAAAAGGATTAAGCATAGAAAGATACACTACAATAAAAGAACCACAAACATAAATTATTTTGTTGTTAGGAAATAAAACAATGATTTTCTTAAGGAAATAAATATTGAGATGAACTTGTCTTTTGGACTTTTAGCCAAAGCTAAATATCAAATGTCTAATGCTTTATTTAAATATAATTTACATATCAAGAATCTTTTCACTAAGTGTAAATTATTGCTTCCCATTTTTATTATCTTTTTTCATGTATATATTTCCCTTGAATTATTTTCTCATTTATGACTAGTGAACTACATGCAAATTATAGTCTTTCAAATTAATAATTTGATTAAAAACTTCTCTTTTTAGCTTGATTGGAAAAAATAAAGATTTCAATAAATAGATTCTATAACACTTTGGAAGTATTTATGTTCATGACTTCTTAAGACTGTAGAGACATTCTGAAAGTTTTTTTTTTTTTCCTGAGAGGCAAGCTTCATCTGAATTGAACATAAATGATGATGATGGTCTTCTGTATTGGCTTTATGGAAATTATTGACTTGAAACATACAAGCAATTATGGTTAAGATGAATTTATCAGGTCATTAAAGAAGCAAAACAGGAGCTGTGTTTCTTTGTATCTGAGGCAAAAAAATATTGAGGCCATATTATATATATCCTCTTCAAAAAAAATCCCGCTTAACTCTGAATCATTTAATTATTATAAGCAGTGATAGCAGCAAATATTTTACTTTTCTTAAAACATTTAGTCTCACGACAATCGTGTGAGGTAGATAATATTATTGTAGATGCTTCGTAGATGAGGTAGTCACTTTTGCCAGACAAAGTCATGGCTATAAATTGTGGAGTCAAGATCTAAAAGCAGGTAGCCTGGCTCCAGCGACGAACTATGTTATGGGAAATTTTTCAGGGAAATTTTTCTTTATTTTCTTTTGCTTATGCAGATGTGCCCACTGCCCCCACCCCTCACCCTTGCCTAATTCAGGATTAGAAAAAAAAAAAAAAAACTCTAGGCACAGAAATACACTCTCTTCTTTATTCACACCTATGTGTGCAGTTAAAAGGAGAATAAAAATCTTGTCCAGCAGGCAGAACTTCATCATCAGAAATGACCTTCTAATTCTGATCTACGAGGTGAAAAAAGCATGTATTGATGACAACTCTGATGTTGCCAGAAATGCCTCATTCCCCTCCTCCTCTCTTCTTTTCCCCTTTCCTGTTATTTTGTCCTATTTTTTCATCCTTTGCTCTATTTCTTACTTTTTCTTCTTCAACTCTCTCTGATTTTGACAAGAGATATGCAAAATTATTATTTTTCACTTTGTGTGGCATTTTTTTCAGTATGTATGTATTTATTTATTTTTATTGTGGTAAAATATACATTAAAAAATTTACCATTCTATCCGTCTTTAAATGTACAGTTCTGTGGCTTTAAGTAGGTTCACATTGTTTTGCAGTCATCACTGCCATCTATTTCTGGAACGTTTTCATCTTCCCAAACTGAAGCTCTGTACCCATTAAATAATAACTTCCCATTGCACCCTCCCTACCATCCCTAGCAATCACCATTCTATTTTCTGTCTCTATGAATTTAACCACTTAAGTACATCATATAAGTGAAACTGTACAATATTTGTCCTTTTGTGTCTTGTTTATTTCACTTAGCATAGTATTTTCAAGGTTCTTCCTTTTCAAAGGTTGAATAATACCCCATTTTGAGTGTGCGTGTGTGTCTGTGTGTGTTTGTGTGTGTGATTTTCTTTTTCCATTCATCTGTCAATGGACACTTGAGTTGCCTCTACCTTTCTGTTATTGTGATACATGATATTTTAATGACGTTCTCAAATTAGGGTAGTGTGCTAGGGAGAACATGTACTCTGACTAGTGTTGCTATCTAAAATCTGTTCTATTTTTATTGACTTAGGACACATAGTTTTCCTCAGGGACTTAATAATTGAACCGTTAAAACAAATGAGGGTTTAGCTGAATTTTTTCCCTGATTATTGACACCAATAAAAATAGGTTTGTTAAGATATAGTTACCTTTAAAATTCTATTTTCCTCTTTAAACAAATTATTTTTTACTAAGTGATATTTTTTAAAAAGAGAGGGGGGGAATTATCCACATATGTCAGACTTATAGAGTTGAGAATGAGATGAGCAGGTTGGATTTGCAAAAAGTAGTAAACACTTATAAAAAAATATAAGACTAACTTTTATATATTTAGGATATGTTTTCCCACTTATCACTGAATTGGGTGGGGATTTTATCACTATGGACTTCAGGAGTTTAGTGTAAAATGATGTACAACACTATTATTTCATAATTTTGCCATTAGTAATGGTCAAACAGTTAAGTTTTGTTTGGTTGTATTTTCATGCAATAATAATCTTATAATTAAGATGATAGTATTTTTCATGAGGTAAATTAGGAATAATATGAATAAATTATTCTCTTATGAGGGATCAATATTTTTCTCTCTAAATTAAGTCCCACCAGAGACTTAGTTCTTCCCCTGAAGCATTTATGAATTCATTAATGTATTCATATGTTGTCATTTGCAAACTGTAGTCATTTTTAAGTACAAGGTAAAGAAATGGACATTTGAGATCTTATACTTTCTCAAGTCAGAGACGCATGGGTGGGTATTAGGTGAGGTGTGAGGGGTTATTACTAGAGTCACCTGATAATCTTATTTCTTCAAGAGAATGTTAATTTTCAGAAGCAGCTATGTCTGTCTTGTCCTATTTTGTTTTCCTCTTGTTCCCTTTTAAATCTCTACGTTAAAGGGCATGATGGGAAACAAAGGTCATTCAATCCATAAAGTCTCCCCCAGAAACAAAATCTTCTCCCACTTCTCAAAGAAAATTATATACCATTGGCTTGGTTTATGGTGGCGATTTTATTGTCTTACCTTGACTTCTAATGAACATCCTCAGGACTTGGTATTTTCATACTATTGTGTCAATTAAAGCCACAGTTTATTAATATGAAAGTTTAAGTATTTAGCTTCTTTTGAATTAGATGACAAGCAATCTATTCATCTGGGTTCTAAGAACTAGTATAACTGAATAATGTTAGTTCTTAGATTATCCCTTTATTTCTTGGGAAAATATTCTGTGTGGTCATTATTTAAAGCCATCTTTTTTGCTTCAGTCCTCTCTCACTCAGTTCAGGATAAGAATTGGTATGACTGGGCCATTATTTAGTCAATTAATGGAAGTTTTTTACATTAGTCTTTTCACTAGTTTCCTGAAAGACTGAGTTTCTAAAATGTCAAAATAAAAAATATAGTAAACTGTTTATTTATGATGCCTTCTCTTAGTTCATTATCCACAAGTCTTTGAGTTTTATGAATCATAATAGAATCCTTTCCCCTCTCTATTTTATATGTTCAACAAGCTAGGCATTTGCTCATAACCAAAGATGTCTGCTTTTCCCTAGAACAAACCTTTTACCTATTAACTTGGAAAATCCAAAGAATCAATACAAGCTTTTTTTCAGTACATGTTGCTGCACAAAAGCAACAGAGTTATTACCCTGAAAGAGAATCCCAAATGTGGTCTGCTGGATGGAAGGTTATGACCCCATGGAAAACTAAACACTTCAAAGTAACTGCTCTCCATCCACCATAATCAGTCTAGAAAGGTACAAAGGATTACTAGGTTTAAGCAAAATGCTTGTCTGGGATCATTGCATTTGCCTTTAAACTGCCCATCACCATTTTGCCATGCTTCATTTTCTATTTTTAAACCTACATTTTCAGATAATTTGGCTTTAAAATTATATTTACATTTTTAATATCCCTTAATGAGCTTATTTCATTGGTAGCATAAACCTAATTATGAGTCACACCAGGGGCTCTTTTGCTGTGGATAGTTCTTCTAATTTACCCTGGATCAAAGATTGCTGGGCCATGAGCAGTCTGCTGATCTGCTTCTTTGTCTCCTCAACTATTTTAGTCATGAGATTGTTTTAATATTTAGGATTTCAAAAGGTCTCTGCCAGGTGACACTATCATTTTGCCTCACAGAGAATGAATATACTTTTTTTCTTTTCAAAGCCCTGAGCATGTAGTGACGGTGATACTTGTGTTGTTTCTGCCCCACACTCCCTCCTCCACAGTCATTCAGAGAATGTTCATGTGACAATTTAATTGTGCTTCTGTTGAAGTGAGTCAGTCTCAGTAATTAGGATCATCATTGCATTTGCATGAGGAATCTAGTTAATTTTTTAAAGATCCCTTTATTGTGGTCCTCTCAATTTTAAATCTTTTTATTTTTATTTCTTGCTTTTTCCAGTTCTTTGTTTTACATTATTTTTGCCTCAATTGTCACCAGTGATTTAACAACATGTGCCAGCATGTCTTCTTACTTCTTTAAGGGGCCTGAAATTTTAAACATCACATTCAAAAGAACACAATAAGTTCTGTAGAGCTCAATTTCTCTGCCTTAGATGAATGACAATGTGGAATGATTAAATCAAGCAATTAACATATCTTTTTTTCTTTTTATGTGTTGTTTTCTGGAATTTGTGTATGATGTACTTAAGTGAGGTTTTACTTTGTGTTTATCCTCTTGGAATTCATTAAGCTTCTTAGATATGAGGGTTGATTTTTTTAAAAAACAATTTTAGGAAATTTTCCCTTTTTTTCTTCTCATGTTTATTCTGCCCAATCTTAGGACCACTTCAGTTTTGCTCATTTATGTTTTTGAATTTTTTTCTCTGTACTTCAGTTTGGCTGGTTTCTATTCCTTATCTTCGAGTTTATTGGTCTTCCTTTCTAAAGTGTCCAAATTTCTGTTAAGAACATTCAGTCCATTTTTAATTCACATATTGTATACTTCTCGTTCTATTTAATGGTTAATTGTTTTAAAGTCATGGGTTGCTAATTCCAACTTCTATGTCATGCCTGTTTTTTTGTTTTTTTTTTTTCTATTTACTGGATTTTTACTCCATATACTGGTCCTGTTTTGCTGCTTTTTCTCATAGTTAGTTTTGTCTGCTTTTCATGCTGGGCATTGTGGATACTATGTTATTAGTGTCTGGATTTTGTTGTTTGCAAGCACAAAATAGTATTCAGTCCAAGATTCAAGGGCACCCCTATATTGACTTTTAAAATGATATTTCTGTCTGGCCCCCTCATTTTATTAATCTTTAACACATTTTTTAACCATCCTAGTATCCCCAAACTCAGATCTCTATTTTCTTTACTTGGTGTCTTTTCTGGAATCCATCCTTCTGTGATGCAGTTTGAAAATTGTTCCCAGGCACAAAACTAGATTGAATGTGGAGCTAACATCACATATTTTCCCTCAAGAATCATATCACTGCATTGTCTACTGCCCAACATCTGAAAACTGTTGCTTTATACATCTTGTCCAGATTTATAATTTTTGCCATAAAAGGTAAATCTGATAGTTTATATAGCCAGGGACAAAATTCTCTGAAATTTATGTTTTTAGTTTATTATATGAAAAATTATAGAATAAGCTCATTTAACTCCTTATATCAAGCTAAGATTTGTTGTGAAAATTCATAGAATTTGAAGATTAATTTGAGGAAAATTGACATATTTGCATTGGGTTTCCCATTAATTAACATGATTCATTGGCTTTTTCTTTAAAACTTTTCAATAAAGTTTAAAATTTTTACTTATTAAATCTAACACTTCTTTTGCTGAATTTATTCTTAGGTACATTATTCTTGTTGTTATTTTTTGCTACTGTTAATAGTGTCTTTTTTAATTTGTTGTTGGTACAGAGAAATGTAACTGATCTTAATTTTGTGATTGAATTAATATAAATTAGTATTGTATTAACTCATAAACATTTATATTTGATTACATTGCTGAATTGTCTTTTTAATTATAATAATCGGCATCTAGACCATTTTGCATTTTGTTTGGTTACAATCATATCCACTGCAGCTAATAACAGTTCTTTCTCTTCTTTTTTGATTTTGAAACCATTTATTTACTTATTTACTTATGCTTTACTGCACATAATTTAAAGTAATGGACCCGGATCTGAGTTTTTTATCTCAGTACTAATATTAATATTTGCTACAAGAGCATTCTTGCATTTTGATTTATCTTATAGCTAAACTCTGCAGGTTTCTCATTTTAGCTTTGATTTATTCTTTTCTTTATTTTGATCTTGTTAGTGTTTCCTTATAGTCCCTGAGTACAGCAATACAGTAATAAGTTATTTTCTCTTATATTTAAATATTTTAAAGCTAAATAGCAATCTTACAAGGTTTCTGATCTATAGTATGGCAAAAATAAATGTTTGTCTGTGAAAATAATTTTGATGAAAAGAATTCTTTTTTGACAACAGTTTTTTCCCTAACAATTATGATCTTCTTTAGGAATTGGTGTGCTTATGTACATACCAGGTTATCTCCCACAGTGATATTGGACAACCAGGTCACTTATGTCCCAGGTGGGAAAGGACCTTGTGGCTGGACCGGTGGATCCTGTCCTCAGAGGTATGTAATATTTCTTGAAAATAGCCACTGTTTTTGCACCATAATAAATTATAGCCGGGAATATATAATGTTATTCATGCAAGGTACATAATACATAGTAGGGTCAGGGGATGGTAGTCACATTATGCTTTAGTAAGTGAAAATGCAGACACTAATAATATTTGCCTCATATGGTCATTTTTAGAATCATTTGAGATAATGCAATACTATATTTAGCCTAGTGCCTTGTGCCTTATAAGCATTCAATAAATGTTAATTATCATGCTTATTTCTATTTTTACTATCACTATTACTTTTACTCTATATCTGGTCAACAATCCTGTCCTTAATTGCTTATGAATTTCATGCACAGTTTTGAAGATTTATTATTTTCTCTTCATGCTAGGTCAGAAAGAAGTTTATAACTTGGTTCATATTCTAAAATTAGGAGAGCTTCTAGTTACAATTATGCATGGAAAAGCAGCTAGGTGAAGCTTTTCTTCTTGTGTCTATTGTAATTAGCCATGTCATTTGATTATCATTTTTTAAAAAAGTCTATGCTGTTGTCCTAAAAGATGGGGCTGAGTAATTGATAAATTATCTGAATTCATGTAGTCACCGTAGCTCAGCTGGGGGTGTTTCCAAAGAGCCTGCAATAAAAACTCCAATTGTTATTCAGGCCATGATGGCTAATGTTATGCAAATAGTCATACAAATAACTCAGGCAATGAATCTGACACATGGCAATCTGGAACAGTGCACAATAAGGATACATAAAATCAAGGTGTTTCTTAGTCCCTTGAGGAATAGCTAAGGTTCATGGTCCAGAGACCTAAGCACATCTTAGGGATTTGGGAGAGCTGAACTCTAGTTCTGTTTTCAGCCCTCACTCTCTTTGTGACAATTTCCTTGCCAATACGAGACACAAAGAATGCATTGCTAATTCTTTAGTAATAAAAAATTTACCACAGTAGCCCCTAGCATACTGCCCTTCTGGATTCAAGGTGAGCTCTTTTTATTTTTTTCTTTTCTTTAAACAAACCATAAGTATTTATCTTTATTCTCGAATCTTATCTTTTTTATGCCTTCTGAGTGGGTGCATTCATTCGCTATTTTTAATACTCGTGTCATAATTGCCACTTTTTCTTTTATTATGTCTGAGCTACATGCAACAGATATTCAGTTTGCCAAAGCAGGAACATTGACCCCAACAATAGTTCAACTAACTGCCTGAGCTCATCCTTACAAACTCTATATACAGTCCCTTTCCAAATTGCTTTGCTTCCTACTTAGCTTTAACTATGAGAGTGCAGATAGTATTTCACTAGACAGAATGATTTAGTGAAATAAATGAGGGTAAATGATTAGCATGCTTTTCAGATGGAAGGGATCTTGTAGCTCATTTTGCAACTGACAAATAGCCTCAGACATACTCGGTTACCTGTCATGTTATAGCAGAAACTGAAACGTAAGTCTCTAAAGGCCGGTCTGTTATAATGCTATTGCTCCACATGTTCACGGTTTACCCATGTAGGTGACTGTTGTCTCCATATAGTTGTACGTGGCAAACTCCAGGATAATAACAAGGGAGGCTAGCCCACATGACATGGGCTAAAATCACAGCTCTACCCCTTTTAGATATGGGACTTTGAGAGAGTTATTTCATCTCTCTGTTCTTTGGATTCCTCGTCAGGAAATGAGGATAATAATAATGCCTTCATCATAAACTAAAATGAAAATTAAGCAAGATAGTATGTACCCATTTTACAGACCCATTTGATAAATAGCAACTAAATATTAAAGTCACATGGGTAAGACTAATATGGCCAAATTGTACTTATGACTTACATTTACAAACACACAGAGCTCACAATTTAGTAGCAGTCACTATATTGATTGTTGTGTTGAACTGCTATAGTTTCCATATTTCTTTTCTGCTGTTCTATGGTTTCATCTTAAAAATAAAATTTCCTCATATTACATCCCTTCTCTCTCTCTGTCCTTCTCTCTCTCTCTCAGAGAAATACTATATGACAAAAATAGTAGGTAGCATAATTTCAAAACTTTGAAGATGAAAAATTCCATGGGAAAATGATAGTGGTTGTCATAATTTCAATTAGATCACGAATATCCAATTTGTTTCAAGTTGTTTGATACTGATCTGGAGGAAATACAGATCTTTTTAAATATAACAATATAGGAAATCATATGAATTGAAGTAGAATAAATTATCTCCATATAACTTTAAAATTGGAATGAAAATAAATTTTAACATTGATTTAGCAAGAAGTATTATCAAGAGAAAAGCTATAATATCTTTAGAAAGTCAATGGCAGGTATCAATTTAAAATACCAAATACCATAACTAGTAATGCTTTTTGTAATGTATTGAAAGAAACCTAAGTTAGGCAATAATATTGATGATGAATATTATGATTATAACAGCCGATACTAAATAAATGCTTGTTATATTGTAGGCATTGCCCCAAAAACTTTACATTTATTATTCCGGCTGATAATTTAATGTGAAACAAATAATCGATTTCCCTCCAATTGCTCAACTCTCTAGATCTCAGAAGATATCCAATCCTGTCTATAGGATGCAACATAAAATTGTCACCTCATTGGATTGGAGGTGCTGTCCTGGATACAGTGGGCCGAAATGTCAACTAAGAGGTACACTCTAATATTAATAATCACAATTCTGAACAATAAGAAACTGATTCTATTGAAGAAAAGAATAGCATTTCCCCTTTTGAACCAAGGTAAATTAACATGTAGCCAAACTCCTAGGACTGTTATACTTTCTAAGCTTTCTAACTTGGTAGCTTTTATAACACTCTGAAATCTCATAAGCTATTCTTTAACTTCTCCCCCCATTTTTATGTTGGATTTATATGATGAGCAAATGGAAATCTGATGAAAGATCTTACTTATTCTTAACAACAAGCTATAGAGGCATGCCTTATTAAAATATCAGGAATGCTAATTTTCAATTTTTAAATAAAGTGTTATTAGAAGTGACTCAATATAAAAATAAGACTACCATCTAGTTTTGTTCCAGTTCAGTTATTTGAAATAATGTGCATATGAATGAAATTTAGTATTAAAGGACATACAAGGTATGTCATGAATAATTCTCTCTTTTTCAAAATTCTAATGGAGCTATTTTTTTTTTTTCAGCTGAGGTTTTAAGGACTTTCTGGTGGCAAGGCTGATCAAACACATGGTAACCCGCTGTGGCCTAATATCCATGTGACTATTATTTTGCTTTTGGCTTTAAACAGGTTTCCTTTGAAAAATAAGATACAGCATCAGCATACATATTTTAAATGAATGAATATTACAAGAAAGGCCATTAGCAGTGGTGGGGAATTCAATCAACAGTATAAGAGACTGTGATTAAAAATTAATAAAACTGTGGAGAAACCGTTATGGCTCACATTAAGAAAAAGAAAATTATAATACAAAAGCTCTAGGAATCCTGCATTTTAGTTAGGGATATTATTTATGGTTTTACTAGCCTATACAATGAGAATCTACAGGCAAATTTCACCATAATGCTATTTGTTCTGGGTCTGGCCTGAATTTCAAAGATGTTATAAAAATTCAATTTATATTCAGACTACAGAATGAATATGTACTTCATTTATAACCAGGTAAAATAAACTTTTAAATAAAATATAATCTATGCTGAAAATATTTGGAAATAAGGAATTTAGCATATTTTAAAAAGACCCAAATATGGCCCTGATTTCTGATTTCCATGAAGTACACAAATATATACTCACAATGGTAAAACATATTTGTGTCTAGAATTGGTGAATTGTTAAAAGTTCTGGATAATATTTAGAATTCTGTTTCTGAAATCTGTATTTCTCTTCTTCTACAAAGAAGGATATCATGAGATTATTAATTCCATCATTATTTCTTGATGATTCAAGTTTGTTTGCAGAGCACATTTCTAGAAATTTAGGTTGTTATTACACATCTTATTAGTAGACATGTGGCAGGGAAAAAGTCTACTAATGAAATGTCATGGACTCTAGTTGATCAGAGCGTTGTTGCTCCGTGCTTCAACCTTTTATACTTAGGAATCAATTCTTTATCACTATGGTGGACTACATACATGTAGGAAGAAAATACCAGAACATCACTGTAAATATAGACACAAGAAACAAAGACTAGCTGACAGTTTCAAATATAGACTGTGTCCTGCCACTCTCATTTTTCAAAGTATGATATGAAATATTTATGAATTCAAGTAGTTTAGGGATTGTCTAATGACACCTTATATCCTAATTAGAAGCAACCTGTGGATAGGTTTTATACTAGATTTACAAATCATTGTATTAATTTCCAGTGGCAAAAATGTCCCAGAACAGTTCTGATTATGACCTTCTGTCATAATAGTGTAATTGGAACCACTCATAATTCAGGTATCTGCTGATTAAGCTGTTATTGAAAGGCCTCTTTTCTACGGAAATCTACAATGGGAATAATGTTCCAATGGCAGATATGCATATTGTGTCATATTGTCATACAACCAATTCTAATATAGCTTTGATTCCAAAATAGCCTCCTGTTGCTCTCTGCTATACTTTGACCATTCTACTTTTCACTTTTTAGTGCAGTTGTATTTTCAATGGCTGAATTTTCTATTAGTGCAATTGATGCACTGGTTGTATTAGGAACTACTGTGTCCTTTGTCCCTTGAACCTTCATTATATCTCTCCTGGGAGGATATTTGCACATTTTCCCCTTCTAATAGCTAACCAAATTGCAGTAGGAAGATCTTCTAAATATGCAGGGAATATCACCAGCTCAGGAATAAATTGGAGCTGTTTGCAATTGTACTTTTTTACTTCTTCTCCCCCACTTTTGTACCCTTCTTTCCATTTCTTTCTTTTATACCCTTCTTTCTATTTCTTTGGGGATGTGGATCCATCTCGAAACTGTTAGAAAGAGATGTGGTGACTCAGAATACATGGCGATTCTCTCTTTATTCCACAATATGCTAATCTGCTACGCACGTACTTTAGCTGCAACTCAGATAATCAAAATACTGGTAGCCACAGTTCTAGATTACCTTATAAAAATATTCATCATATTATCAAAAGGAAACCAATTTTTAAAAATCTAAATGAATAGAACTTTATTGGGGGAAAAAAGGAGTACTAAGTCCAACATCAAAGTAATAGTTCTGATATGTTTTACATTTGTTATGTCATTTTCTCTTTTCAAACATATATATTTGTACATAATGAGGAGTGAGTCATCAAAGACAGTTTGCACAAGGGTTTTGCCTTTAGAAAGGACCTAATTTTGTGATATGGTATTCAAGATACTTTTCAAAAAGTCAGCAGTAACATACACTTAAATCTGTTTTATAAAATTTGCAATAATGCTCTTTTCCAGTAGATGTCTCTAAAATATTCTGAAGTGGAACAAGGAAAGTGTGACTTGCTTTAATGACACAAAGGGCAATGATTTAAATACAAATAGTGTTAGATTACAGAGGATGAAGAAAACTTGTTTGCAAATCTGTTTTTAAAAATCCAGTGGCTTTAATCATCAGATCCTTTATAGGAAAAAGGTATCTTATAACATTCTGTTTTGTACTGCAGATATTATGAATGCTGACAAAATGTGAGCATGTACAAGTGCTGAAATAAACTGGCCCCTACCATATGTTATGAATATATAAAAAATATTTGGTTTTACAAATGCTGGGAAATCATGCAATAAATTATATAAGAGCTACTGTAACTAACATTTGAATATGGGGCTCCTCCAGCAGGAGTATTTTAAAATGCATTCCCTGTAGTTTTGCATATCTAGTTCTTCCCAGCAGTAGCAAATGCTTTCTTCTTTGAGAAAGAACATTACCTCCTCTAAGAGTCTTTCACAATAAAATTATGATGCATTTAGTGAAGAACACTCTGTACCATAAGTGGTTGTTGCACCAAACTGCCTACTTCAATTTACCTAGTAAATCTCAGTAAAGCTTAACATGTACACCGAACATTCACCATGCAAGTTTTCACTTGATATTGAGGGATCAGCTGGAAATCTGTCTCCTCAAGCCACACAGGAAGGTTTTCTGGTTCTGAGTGAGAGAGAGCAAACATCCTCATTACTGAGTTGCCATTAATGACATCCTCCATATGGCTCAAAGGTCTGGAAGGAAAACAAAAAAAACTTGCAAATAAAATCCATCTAATTAAAAAAAAAAGCATCTAATAAGGAAGCTGTTGCTCCTACTGTAGACACTTGCTGACCTTGCTTCTCTAAGTCGTTGATCTGTCAAGGTCAGGGCTTCCATTGCAAGGGGAAAAAAAGAGAGTAACTGTCCTGGGAGAAAAGCAAAAAGGAATCCAACTTAAAAAATATATTGCATTTTAAAAAAATCTGAAATGCACAAACATCTTTAAAAATTTAGTTGACTGAAATAAATGTCCTTCTGTCCCTGTACCTATCGCTTAGAAGGGAACAAGAAAAAGAAACTTAGAAATCTGTCCTGTATGGAACAAAGCAAAGGTCTGTGCTCAAGTGAAAGACAGATTGCTTGGAAAACCTAGAATCTGTGGCAGTCCTTGTGATAGAGAATACATTTGGGGAGACAGAAAGATTGCTAAATGAAAAAACAAAAGAGCATCAATCAACGAGGCTCTTTATCACAAGAGAGTAACTGACTCCACTGTCAGAGATCCTATCAGCTCTTTGCTGTGGCTGGTTAAATCCCGTGTAATAAATTGGGATGAATGCAAGTACTGAACTCCAGTCAACAAACAAAGGTAGGGAAAGATAACATAAACTATTGAATTTGTAAAACAGGCATTTCAAGTTTTCAACAGCCTTGGCAGGGACTCCATCCAATGAATTCCGGAGCAAAGAGATTCATGTGACAATTGGATCTCAAGGATCTTTGTGTGATGCTTAATAGTTGTTTCTTTTATTCAGGAGTACAGTTTTCTCACTTAGATTCTGAAAAAAAAAAAACAAACAAACAAACAATAAATTTAACAATGCTGCTAAAAGCAAATGGGAAACTTTATGAACATGCATGTGCCCACATGCAATTACATTAATTTTTGACATTTAATACTAAAAAAGTTAATCACATTTTCTTTCAAATTAGTGATGTTGAAACTATAAAATATGAAAAAAGCTTAATTTTTCTCATTTTATATATATTATTTTCATATACTGAGGAATGAATCATCAAATTTTAGTGTGCAGGAAAACTAGATTTTCACTTGATACTTCTATGTATGTTTATTTTTTATCTTTTTCAATTGCTTGTTTTTTTTCTTTCTGACAGCTTTTCAATTTACTCTCTCCTCTCCTTCTTCTCACTGATTTTAAAGTTTTTTCTTACGTTTTTGGTTACTATTTTCAATCTATTGATTATCTCCCGCATATCACTGTCTATTCCCTTTTTTAATGGAATAACATTTTCCAAGATCACATGAATGATATATGTCTCAAATTCTTTTGACCCTGAGGTCAATAGAAAATTAAACTTTGATGCTCTTCATTTGCTTCCTTTCTATTCTTGACACTTTACCTCTCACCTAGGTAAATTTTTACTTCTTGAACATTCAGGATCTTTCCTAGACTGGGTAGCACGGAGGGAACTATATCTTGATGACATGCTCCTACTGAAGTCTCAAATAGGATCCTAGAAGAGTTAAAATCCCCCCACACATCCTCGTGTGTGTGTTTGTGTGTGTGTGTATGTGTGAAAGAGACAGAGAGAGCCCTTGCCCTTGTTTCCCCAGTCTTTGAAGGATGTTAAGTAAAACATTGTTATAATCTTCATATTAAATATGCAGCATGTAATACTTTGTAAGAAGTAAAATTAAGAGACCTGATTACAATTCCATTATAAAATGCAACTTAAAATAACATGTCACTATTTATAATAAAGCTTTACCAAAGTATTTTGAACCCCTGGAAATAAATCCTGTGTAAAATGCTTTTGTGATTTGTATTGAGGTCTCTCCACTTCGGGATCACGAGCACCCAAACCAATCTGCCTCTTGATTATGATGATTGGTGGGAAGGGGCAGCAGCCACAGTCAATATTGTATATAAATCAAAAATTAAGAATGCATTACTTTTTATTTTCTTAAATTAGAGCATTGTCTATAATACAGTCTAAAACTACAGACCAAGTAATATACATCATACCAAAAATCACTCATATCATTCTAATAATTTCTAAGCAATTTATTGATTTCTACAAATTATATTGATGTCGTCTTTCTTTTGCCATGGATGATACCAGCTAAATGATGTCCTTGTCAGAGAGGTAATTTAATATAGGGAACCCTCTCAACCTCCTTTAATGATTTACCCATCAGATTTAGAGTCACTGGGTGACATGAGGTCTCAATAAGTTTGTAATTTTATTAACATCAGTTAAATTATCCTCCTGCTGAATTATCTATTGGGCTTTCCTGAATAAAAAGTGATTGCATTCAATTTTTATCAGCACTTAAATACTGTGTGTATTTTTGAATGTTTACTGTCTTTATTATTAACTAAATCATGAAAATTCTTATCTAAATATCCTATTTAATTAGTTTATAGAGCTTTGTTAACGTCATTAGGCCAAATTCATCTGGCAGCATAAATCAATGAATATTTATTGCATTTTTTTAGTTTTGTCATATAAATTTTATTTTCAAACAATTCATTAGAAAATCTTTTTCTTACATAATTGGCCTTTTACTAATTTTTGTTTCAAATAGTATATATACATCTATATATTTCAATTAATATATATTCATTTAAAATAGAATATATAAGTTTCAAATGTATATTTATAGAATACATGAAATTTTTATATCTATACTATCTTTGATCAGTTTTTTAACTATCTCCAGTTTAATAAGGGGAATTTTCTTTTCTCGTAAAGCTGAAAAAGGATTGGCATTTCTGTTAGAGTGTCATCTCTGAAAATCAGTTATTTTTTAAAAAAGTCTATTTTCCAAATGTTAAATTTCACAATTTATATGAAAGTGAATTCATAGGGCTTGATATAATTTACAAAATGCCTTTTTAGCTGTAACATCACAGGCTATCTTTGAAGTCCAAATATTCTTCCAATTTTTATTATTTTAATTTTTAGCATGTGCTCTTGCTTTCCATCTCTCTTTCCATCTTTCTCTCTCCCTCTCGTCTACTTTTATTGTCTCTTCTTTATTTGATATATAGCAGTAAATATGAAATTCATCTAGAAAAGATTTCAAGTGTTTACTTGATAACACATTATACTTTCAGTCAGAAATATTTGAATACAGTAGCTTATAGTGCCAAAATTTTTAAAAAGCAGAAGTCTATCTAAAACTTTGCCTGGAACTCCTGGTTTACTTTTTCACTATTATTGCACAGGCTTCACCTATGTAAAAAATTAAATTTTCACATACACAAATTTTGTGGAAAATTCCTTTCTCAAGTGTTCATATGTATTACTACATTACTAATGTAGCATTAAAGATGTTTTTCCTTCTAATTTACTGAGATTTAAAAAAATTAACTGCTTTAAAATTCTTGATTTTTACGTTTTAGGAAAATTATGAAAATACTTGTATATGAAAGAGTTCAAGTTTCATTAATAATACTTTTAAATTTTATTAAGTTGACTTTTAAGTTTTCTAAGAAGTTGTCTTACAAAAAGCAGTATCATAAAACTCATTTGCAATGATATTCCTAGATCAGAATTATTATATTAGGTAAGTTCTGTAATACTTTTCTTTTCTAAAATGCTCTATTATTTTTAAATGCTCTTATTATTTTAAAAAAGAAATAATTTAAAATTCTGATTTTTTCTAAATATTTTATTATTTTATGGGCACTTTATTAACATTATCGGATAAAGTATTTTTTAAGTTTTTTACTTCAATTGATTTCATTGAACATTTTTATTATTAGGAATACTTATTTTGTGAGGCTAATTTCATAACATTTTTTAATATTTTCTTCATGATTCATGGTTGCAAACGATCTTTAACATAGTGGGTGAATGCCATTATGATGAAAAATGAGTCTAATAATTTTATTTCTATATTATACAAATTTGTAGGATTGTTTGAATCCAACGTTTACCTAGCAAGAAAAAATAATCTACCAATATTGAAAATCAAGTTGATTTTCATTCCAGAAATGTAACTTATTTATTTTATATTGAATTTATTTTTTATAATTATTTGGTATTATTTAGATGTTGTACATATTAAAAGATGTTCCAGACTAACTGAGTTTGCAGAGTATCATTACCTAATTTAGGACTAGGTTCCTAAGTGATACAATTTTTGTTTTATTCTCAGATTCAAAAATTCAAAAAATTCATACTCAAGATACCCGAAACAAATGCTTTTAAAATTTGGTTAAACTTTTGTTTCTTTTTCAGTGTCTTTGATAATTTACTATAAACTTCTGGACCATAATTATCAAATAACTATGCATTTAGAACAATTAGCACATGCTAATAAGTAAAATAAATTGAGCATCAAACTATTCAGAAGTTGTAGCAAATACAAAAATCATAAGCAATGATAAACTGTTCATTCTACTAAAACACTGACTGTTTCACAAAATCTATGCACTGCCTGACATCAGTCCAACAAAATGCTAATTCTGAAAAATAGTTTTCAGATGTTGCCACAGTAGGAATTCCATTCATCACATATCCTACAAAATACATCCTTTATCATGTATCCATGATTAACTTGTAATTAGTTAATATTATAATTTGTATAACTCAGCTTGTCAGTTATTGGACTTCAGCATTATATATTTGCCAACAGTTGTGGCTTTATTATATTTCAATATTTTAACAATTGGCCGACCACATTGCTACATACTGGCAAAACACAATCATGGAGTTGGGGAATGTGCAATGTTGCTAGATGGGAGTAAGGAGCAACAGTCTGGCTTTTGAGTGGAAAGTGATTTTATTTCTGAGACATTCTAAAATTGTCATTGGGCTGTAGATTTGATTGCTGTGAAGGCAGCACAAACACTCTTCATATGTTTCCATGCTTAACAGTGCCTCTTTAGGGATCTTGTGTTATAACAATAGAAAGAATGGTAATATCTGCATGAGGAAATCAGGAAGCTGTGAAAGGTACCTTCCACCCCCATCCCACTTCACTTACTCTTTAAGGAATTGTATGAGACTCAAGGTTTTCATTTCTTAAACTTTATTAAATCTGTCTTCAACACACACCTTTGTTATTAACAGGAATGCTGTTTAAAAGTCTATGAAGATTGATTTCTGGATTGCAATTTTAGTATTAATATATCTAGTATTTTCTGCATTATAACAATGAATTTACCTCTTAGAAGTAGAAAGCTTAGCAATTTGTTCAAAATTAGTGTTCCTAACCAGGGCCATATATAGAAATCACCTGTAGAGTTTTGTTTTTTTTGTTTGTTTGTTTTTTTTAAATACGCACCTGCCCCATTCCTCAAAATAGAGCTACTGAATGAGAATCTCAGGTGAGGGAGTGGAAAGAACATGGACACTTAATGTTTCAAAGTATACAGGAACTTCTCATTTCCATCTACGAGGAAAAAAATCAGTATTCTAATGGGATGTAAAGAAATATGTGTTATAATAAAAGTTAATGATAGAAAAGGAAATTCGAATAGTAATCTTGTTTGTATTCAACAAAACAATATTATCTTTGCTTTCACTATAATTATGCTTCCCTTCCTAACAAAGTATCCACAGCCTACTGAGTTATGGTACTACCTTCAAATGCACCAGCTCTTTTTTTTTCCTATGATCTAGCCAAAAAGGTAAGCAGCAAATAAATGAAAAGATCATTGTTCATCCTGTTAAATTCACCTGTTCTTACTGCTATAAATATTTATAAGTTAGTATCCTTAACATTCATATTTAAATTAATAGATCTAAGGTGGGACTCTAGAAGTTCTACCTCCAAAAGTTTCCAGGTGATGCTCATACTGCTGATTAAAGGACCCCAGTCTGAGAACCATTGCTTTACTCTCTAGTTATACTCTTGGATGGATGTACATTTAAGCTGCCAGAATAAAATGCCTTAGTACACCATTTAAGGAGGAATCGTGATAAAAATTTATGCAATGATTAAATGGTTGTATCTGTATGAATTAATTTAAACTTACACTATAATAACCTTATTGCTAGGTCTTAGAAGAAGATTTACACTTTTCCCCACGCAATCCATCCCCTAAATAATTACACTATTCCCCAAGCTGCAGATTGCTTTTGTCCATCAGATAAGTCAACAATTACACAGGACTTTATAGAATACAGCAGAGGAAATGAAAATCAAAAAGAAACAGCATCAAAACAAAAATCTTGGACATGAATGGAAATTCATTAATTTAGCTCAATGCCCTGAAGAAAAACAATGCAAAATTCAATCTAACAATATAGACTCACCCAAATTAATGCCAAATATACTTCCTGTGGAGTAGAGAAGCTTAAGTATTATAGTCAAAGCCACATATGGCTTAGGGAGCATAATTAACATGTGCCAGAGATGCAGAGTTTCATTGGTTCATAAACTCACCTGGGAAGAAGCACGGCTAGACACAAAACACTTGTTTCCTCATGTCTGTCATGCAGACTTTAATGGATAAATTTGTTTGTTAGAAGTCTGCAAATTAAAGCCATATTATTTGATGTTCTCAATATTTTATTTTATTTATTTTTATTTTAATTATTGATTGATTGATTGATTGATTGATTGGCAGAGTCCTGCT
Source organism: Homo sapiens (assembly GCF_000001405.40). Lineage (NCBI taxonomy): Eukaryota > Metazoa > Chordata > Mammalia > Primates > Hominidae > Homo > Homo sapiens. The sequence continues at coordinate 89,922,140 of NC_000004.12, forward strand.
CTATCCCCCAGCTGGAGTGCAGTGATGCCATCTCGGCTCACTGCAACCTCCGCCTCCCGGGTTCAATAGACTCTCCTGCCTCAGCCTCCCAAGTAGCTGGAATTACAGGCACCTGAGCCACCACATCTGACTAATTTTTGTATTTTTAGTAGAGACGGGCTTTCACTATGTTGGCCAGGCTGGTCTTGAGCTCCGACCTCAAGTGATCCACCTGCCTCAGCCTCCCAAAGTGCTGGGATTACAGGTGTGAGCCACCGCACCTGGCCTGTACTCAATATTTTAAATAGATCATTTCTCTAAATTGTTTTCCCCAATGAAAAACTATATTGCCATTTAAAATATTATTTGATTCATGGGAATTATTACTTGCCATTTAAAATATTACTTGATTCATGGTAAATTCTTCAGTAGAGTAGATTTATTTTACAAGAATTTCTATTGAAATTTCACTGACTTTACCAGTTGATTTGCTTGAAATGTGCCTGCAATAGTTTACTTTTATTTTTAGTCCAGTTTGAGACTATCAAAATCTGGAAACAATCCATTTAAGTGGCACTATTAATGAAATAGCTATTTTTATTTTAGTAAGGAACCTGTAGCTCTCCCTTTTTTCCAAGTAGACACCAGTTGGGAATTGCCTTGTTAAACAATCAGCCTTTGTGGCAGTCCACTTATAAGAATGCTATAGCTTTTAACACAGCGGATTTAAAAATCCCCTCAATTATGCAGGCAATTTACATCTGCTAGTTTACACAGCTCCTCCAAACTACCATCCCTTTTCACGGAAAGGAGGCCTGAATAATTTTATTTTTTTTTCCAAGCAGAATTAGAGTCCTGCATTTCCCACTCCAATGTGGTGTTGCATTGCCCTATGGTTGGGGGCGGAGCAGCTTACTCTGCAATCATCCCCGACCATCATGCTTCAGTACGCGGGAAAATGAATGTCAGCCAAATTATTGTTCAGGACTGGAAAAAATGAGGCTGTCCCAGTGCTTAACTGTCTCTCTTCTCTTTCTGCTTCCTTCTAGCCCAGGAACAGCAAAGTTTGATACACACCAACCAGGCTGAAAGTCATACAGCTGTTGGCAGAGGAGTAGCTGAGCAGCAGCAGCAGCAAGGCTGTGGTGACCCAGGTCATAGATTGTAATTACTATCATCTCTGACCCAATTATTGTCAATGCTATTTATTACAACTTCCAAGCAAGAAATCTCTTAGTTGTCAAATGATTGATGGTGACACATTAGCATACTTCTCAGTCCTTTTCTACTGGTGCTGGATGTTGGGAGAAATTGTGGATAAGCTATAATAGGTACTGAAAAGACCATGTATAACTACAGAAGCTTTGTGTGCAAACACAGAAAGAATAAAAATGCTGTGATACTAGGTTGTAAGGAAACCACAGTTTTCCAAAATAAGACCAAACTTTTGTTCTCCAAAGAGTGTCATTATGGAAGACCCTTGACATGGAAGGAACAACTTATTCTTTTAAGGGATCTAAGAAGGCTCTCTTCAATTCATTAATAAGAGGTTGCTTAATGGGTACTGATCCCTAAGAAATGGGATTATGACTAAGAATCAACAAGAACCTCCTGCTGATCCAAAGTTGGCATGTCACATATTTTTCCATCTTTCTAATCAGTTTTTGCCATTTCTTTTAGGCTAAACTTTAGCTTTTACAAACATAAGGTTGGTTACTGCTAAAAACATCTATTCACTGTGTTTGGCATGGATCTAGTCATACAAAACAAGGCACTCAATTAAGAAATGTGACTTAAAGGGCTGTCTTTAAGAATGCAGCTGAATATCCCTTAACAATGGTGGTGTAATTTTTTAAGGGATTGAAATTCAGTATCTTTATAAAAGACCATAATATTCTTGAATTACTGCAATACATGTGTAAAGGGATAGACAGTATTATTGCTATATAAAGTGATTCAAACTAAATTATGAGTCTCTTTATCTTTGATTAACGAATACCTCAGTAAACAATAAAATTCTCAGAACATAGCTACAACTACATACATATATCTAGCTGCATATTTTAAATGCTGAGGTATTGAATTTGGAAGCAGAAGATGAGCCATCAGCTCTGTAACTGCGAGCAAGTTATTTTGGATTTCTGCCCCTTTGTTTCTTTTTGAGAGTGTAACAGTAACTCTTTGAAATAATTTTTTTAAAACACTGAAAATTCTGGGAAAAGTTAAAACATTTTAGAAATCTAAGCTATTATACTACTCTTTACAAATTTCTACACTTAGTCTTAACATTCAAGTTGCCATTTCCTGAATGAATATAGTCTTGTATTTTCAAATGTATTCCTGCAAATATAGTTTGTTTGAATTACCTTCAAACCTATCATGAAATTTAAGTGATTTTTAAATATATATATATTAATTTTTAATTAAAAATTTAAGTGATTTTAAGCTGGGCACAGTGGCTTATGCCTATAATCCCAGCAATTTGGGAGGCCGAGGCGGGTGGATCATGAGGTGAGAAGATCGAAAACATCCTGGCCTATATGGTGAAACCCCGTCTCTACTAAAATAAAAAAAAATTAGTCTAACGTGGTGGTGTGTGCCTGTAATCCTAGCTACTTGGGAGGCTGAGGCAGGAGAATCGCTTGAACCCGGGAGGCAGAGGTTGCAGTGAGCCAAGATCATGCCGCTGCACTGCAGCCTGGTGACAGAGCGAGACTGTCTCAAAAATAAAAAATTAAAAATTAAGTGTTTTTAAATATATATATTTAACTTTCAGTTTTTGTGGGTACATAGTAGGTGTATGTACTGTTTTGATACAGGTACACAATGTGTAATAATCACATAATGGAGAATGAGGTATCCATCCCCTCAAGCATTTATCCTTTCGGTTACAAACAATCCAATTATATTCTCTTAGTTATTTTAAAATGTACAATTAAATTATTATTGACTATAGTCACCACATTGTGCTATTAAATAGTAGATCTTATTCATTCTTTCTTTTGCTATTCTTTTTTATTATTTATTTATTTATTTATTTTTAGAGACAGGGTCTGCACCCAGGCAGGAGTGCAGTGGAGTGATCATGCATCACTACAGCCTCCATCTCCAGAGCTCAACCAATCCTCCTGCCTCAGTGCCCAAGCAGCTGGGAATACAGGCACGTCCCACCATGCCTGGTTAATTTTTTTTTTTTTTTTTTTTTTTTTTGTAGAGACGAGGTTTAGCCATGTTGCCCAGGCTAGTCTTGAATCTCTGGGCCAAAGCAATCCACCTGCCTCAGCCTCCCAAAGTGCTGGGACTACAGCCGTGAGCCACTGTGACTTAGTCTCTAACAATTTTTTTATACCCAAATAAAAAACAAATTTTTATTTATATTTTTAATATATATATATATATTTAATTTTTAATTAAAAATTTAAGTGGTTTTAGGCTGGGTGTGGTGGCTCACGCCTGTAATCCCAACACTTTGGGAGGCCAAGGCGGGTGGATCACGAGGTCAGGAGATCAAGAACATCCTGGCCAACATGGTGAAACCCTGTCTCTACTCAAATAAAAAAAATTAGCCACACGTGGTGGCATGCACCTGTAGTCCCAGCTACTGGGAAGGCTGAGGCAGGGGAATCGCTTGAACCTGGGAGGTGAACCATCCCCACCTCACTCCAATCAGCCATTATCCTTCCCATCCTCTGATAACCATCCTTGTACTCTCTATCTCCTTGAGTTCAATTGTTTTGATGTTTAGATCCCACAAATACATGAGAACATGCGATGCTTGTCTTTCTGTTCCTGGCTTATTTCCCTTAGCATAACGATCTCCAGTTCCATCCATGTTGTTGCTTTGTTTTTTATGGCTGAATAATACTCCATTGTGTATATATACCACATTTTCTTTATCCATTCATCTGTTGATGGTCATGTATGTTTCTTCCATATCTTGGCTATTGTGAATAGTGCTGGCAATATACATGGGAGTGCAGATACTTCTTGGATATACAGATTTCCTTTCTTTTGTGTGTATACGTGGAAGTGGGATTGCTAGATCATATGGTAGCTCTATTTTTAGTTTTTGAGGAACCTCCAAACTGTTCTCCGTAGTGGTTGTACTAACTTACATTCCTACCAACAGGGTATGGGGGGGTTCCCTTTCTCCATATCCTTGCCAGCATTTGTTATTTCCTGTCCTTTGGATATAAGCCATTTTAACTGAGGTGAGATGATATCGCATAGTAGTTTTGGTTTGAGTTTCTCTGATGATCAGTTATGTTAAGCACCTTTTTATATGCCTGTTTGCCATATGTATGTCTTCTTTTGAAAAATGTATATTCAAATCTTTTGCCCTGTTTTGATTGGATTATCGGGTGTTTTCCTATAGGCTTGTTTGACCTTCTTTTATATTTTGATTATTAGTCCCTTGTCAGATGGGTGGTTTGCAAAGATTTTTCTCTCATTCTGTGGGTTGTGTCTTGACTTTGTTGGTTGTTTCTTTTGCTGTGCAGAAGCTTTTTAACTTGATGTGATCCCATCTGTCCATTTTTGCTTTGAGTGCCTGTGGTTGTGGGGTATTACTCAAGAAATTTTTGCCTAGACCAAATGTCCTAGATACTTTCTCCAATGTTTTCTTATAGTAGTTTCATGTTTTGAGGTCTTAGACTTAAAGAGCTAATCCTTTTTTATTTGATTTTTGTGCATAGTAAGAGACAGAGGTCTAGAGTCATTATTCTGCATATGGACATCCAATTTCCCCAGCACCATTTATTAAAGAGACTGTCTTTTCCCTGGTTTTTGGCACCTTTGTTGAAAATGAGCTCACTGTAGATACATGGATTTGTTTCTGGGTTCTCTATTCTATTCCATTGGTGTATTTGTCTATTTTTATGCCAGTACCATACTGTTTTGGTTACTACAGCTCTGTGTTATAATTTGAAGTCAGGTAGTATGATTCCTCCAGTTGTTCCTTCAGTTGTTCTTTTTGCTTAGGTAAGCTTTGGTTATTCTGGGTCTTTTGTTGTTCCATATAAATTTTAGGATTTTTTTTTTTGTATTTCTGTGAAGAATGTCATTAGTGTTTTGATAGGGATTGCATTGAATCTGTAGGTTGCTTTGGATAGTATGGACATTTTAACAATATTTATTCTTCCAATTCATGAACACGGCATATCTTCAATTTCTTTCATTAGTGTTTTATAGTTTTCATTATAGTGACCTTCCACTTCTTTGGTTAATTGAATCCTTATGTATTTAACTTTGTGTGTGGCTATTGTAAATGAGATTACTTTTTTTTCTTTCTCAGATTATTCACTGCTGGCATATAAAAATGCTACTGAGTTTCATATGTTGGTTTTGTATCCTGCAATTTTACTGAATTCATTTATCTATTCTAATAGTTTTTTGGTGGAGTCTTCAGGTTTTTCCAAATATAAGGTCATATCATCTGCAGAGAAGGATAATTTGACCCCTTCCTTTCTAATTTGAATGCCCTTTATTCCTTTGTCTTGTCTGATAGCTCTAGCTAGAGCTTCTAGTGCTTTGTTGAAAAATAGTGGTGAAAGTGAGCATCTTTGTTGTGCTCCAGCTTACAGAAGAAAGGGTTTTAGTTTTTCTCCATTCAGTATGATACCAACTATGGGTCAAAATATATTTTTTAATGGTCTCAATTTTCTCTTCTATATGCAGAAGTGATGCAAAAAATGACTGATCAGGTGAACTACCAGGCAATGAAACTGACTCTTCTGCAGAAGAAGATTGACAATATTTCTTTGACTGTGAATGATGTAAGGAACACTTACTCCTCCCTAGAAGGAAAAGTCAGCGAAGATAAAAGCAGAGAATTTCAATCTCTTCTAAAAGGTAAAAATGAAATAAAATAAAATATTCATTCAGTAACACAGAAAGCAAATGATTCATTTTTCTTTTCTTACATCACTTTGGGATCTTTGCTTTAGTTTGGGTGGTATGGAAACCTAAGAAAGATTTTTTTTAATGAGATATAAATTCACTAAAATTCTGAAATAATTTGAAATATCTACATTTTATTATATATACTGAAGTCTTTGACTGAATATTCCATTTGGTTGATAAACATGATGTCTCTAACTATAGCCTAACATATTCATTTTTAGTTAAAGTGAGTCATATTAATTTACTTCCATTGTGTTATCTACTTCAAGAATAAAAACGCAGTTAGGGGATCAAGATAGCTAGTTGCATGGTTGTCTCAATACTATTGATGGAGACATTGAGGATAAATCTGAAGTGCATTATTATCCCCCAAATTTTCTAGGTTATGGTGTAAAATCTATTAAATATATCCTAAAACATTCCAGCTATTATTAATATTAAAGAATAATAATTTATATATGTGAATAGGCTTTGCCTGAATTTTGTGCTCTTCAAACAGTGGGCTTAAAAGCAGGCTATGTTTCTTTCTGGAGGATCAACAGGATAATCCATTTCCTGCTAATCCAAGATGCTGGCAGAATTCATTTTCTTGCAGTTGTAGGACTGAGGTCTCTGTTTTCTTGATGTCTGTAAACTGAGGCCCATTCCCAGCTTCTAGAAGCCACTGCATTTCTTGACTCATCATCCTCCATCTTTAAAGCCAGCTACATTGTGTTGAGTTCTCCCTGCATCTTTCTGACTATGTAACTCCGTTGGACCTACCTGGATAATCAGAAAAATCTCTCTATCTCAAGGTGCTTAACTTTAATCACAGTTGCCAAGTCCCTTTTGCCATGTAAGGTACATATTCATGGATACAGGGAATTAGCATATGGACACCTTGGGGGAAAGGGGTGTGTATTATTCTGCCTACCACAGAGATTTATGTATAGTGAGTAATTGTTATGATAGTGTTATACACAGGATACAATGGGACCACTTGACACTTGCAACAAATCCAATCTAAGGGGACCAGGGAAAGCGTCTAGAAAGAGAAACCATCTCAATTGATGTTAACCATGCAGAAAGGTTTCGGGTAGGGCAAGGATGTTCTAGGCATGCAGTTAGTTTGATTCCTGGGAGCGTCCCAGTCGGGTTTATTGTATGAAACTTGTCTGTTTGCAAGTTTCAGGATTACTGTTTTTTTTCCTTTTGCTTTATTCATTAAAAAACTCAGTGTACAACCCAATTTTTATCATTCACAAGTTATCTTTTCTCTATTGATTTAAAAAAGATAAATAGGTGGATATTTAATATATCATCTACCAGTATGGATGCTTACATAGCTCAACAACAATTATGTTTTTTAATCATATAAATAATTGCTGCTACTCAACCACTAAAAGAAAGACCCTGTCCTACATATCTGGTATGGCCCAACCTTACCAATGCTGAGCATGAGAAGGAAACATTTTTCCCCCCTGAAGTGACAGCATGAGAAAGAAGTCAAATAGAAACAGTATGTAATTGACTATAACCATCTGAATGAGATTTGTTTAGCAAGATTTGGTTCTCATGACCTAACAGAATTAGCCTGTCAACTGTTTTTTTGTGACCTACCAGCCTACTACAAAGATTCTGGCACTGACACAGGAGAAAAATCACACACTCACAGCAACAGCATTAATAATGAAACTCCCTCCGCAATAGGAGGAATTAATTGTGTACTGAGCACAGTCATTAATTATAAGAACCAGAGGGCTTGTAGTTAATGAATATTCTTACAGGAAACAAAAACTAAACCCACCTCCAAGGTGCTGTGCTTGCCTAGCGAAACCACAGCTTCCTCCCTAGTTTACTTTACATCCAAGGTGAAAAACACTGCGTAATCTGACAGTAGCCATAGAAACTGTTGAAAATCAAATGTCTCAACTCCGTAAGAGGAGGTGGATACCTTAAGAGGTACCTAAATGTTATTAAAAGGCCATACATTCACAATTACAGAAGGTGAATGCTAAGGTATCTGATATCAAATATATCTGGTAAGTCACCAAATGTAATATGCTTCTAAGAAAGTGGAAGCATATGAGTCACAGGAAACAGAAACAAACAGAATTAAAATGATGTGCCCACTCAACTATTAACATAAAGCACTTTGACATGTTCTTGGGAAATCAGATTCTTGTACAGATGCTTGTTTAGTAACAAATTGTAGAAATGTTACCTGAAAAGCTTCTGATCCCAAAACACATTTTTAAGCTAATAATATGTTTAATATCTTTTCAGACATTGCTGTGATTTTGCACTTTCTTCAAAGTATTTTTCCATAAAAGTGTTAAAGTGTAACAGCTAAAGTAATTTACATTACTCATTTTCATTGTTTTTTCTCCCAATTATGTTGATCAAGATTTTGTGCTGAGTTTTTGCTTATTGTTTTTCTTATTAGGACTTTTAGGCATGTAGTTTTTTGTTTGCTGAAGTTAAACATTTATTGTCATTGTCCACAACTAATAAATTCAATAAAGCCTAAATTTTATTGTACCTTTCAATCTTGAAAAACTGTAAGATTATAAATTTAAAGAAGGTCGAATCTGAACCTTAAATATTTTATTATATTTCATCAAGCTTTTGATGTCATGAGAATTAGAGTCATTTTTAACTAATGGGAAATGACTAAATGTTCTTATAGAAAGAGTAATATTAATATTACTATTGAATAGTACCTTACACTCAATGATACTTACATATTCTTTTTTGTAAGACCAGAAATCGAATTTTCTAAATTTTACTTACTCTATATAGCATATAGAATGTATTTCATCAATATTTATTGAATAAATGGGTGACTGGTTAAATGCTAAGCAAAATGTAGAAGATAAAAATGCTTTAAAGCCTTTCTGGTGTGATTATCCATGTTATTTGATACAAAAGCTAGGACTATTTCTGTATAATTTATCTTAATTGTGGCTAGTTAGTCTTTTCTAATTCATTTAGCCTTTCCTTAGTACTTTAAGGCTGTGTGTCATATTGATTACTATTCTATATTTCATGTTTTGTTTTCTTTTTTCCATTACATACAAATTGATCTTTGGACTTTTAAACTTACTTTAGTTTCCACTAAGTTTATAAAAAGTAAAATAAAATATCTTTCCCATTTTATTTTCATCTGGCAACATGGATCTTTAGGGTGCAGGATTTCCAGAGAAATGTTTATCCATCTAAATTTTCATATTTACAGCTTCGTTTTTGTACAAAATTGTCAATATCAAGATGCTCAAACAATACATCATTCTATTTTTAATAATCACTCTTTCACATATTTTTATGTAAGTCCCTCATGTATGTTAAAAACTTACTTACAAAATGGAGACATGTGGAGCCTATTTTTTTAATCCTAGGATGATCTTTCTTTAATAGACTACATAGTAGCTATAATTGATGGCAATATCCCATTGTACAGACTTTCCTGTCTAAAATGCTTTGCATTGTATTGTGTGTATTTTACATTATAGTCATTGATTATTGTGTTAGTCCATTTTCATATTGCTATTAAAAAAACCTGAGACAGGGTAATTTATATAGAAAAAGAGGTTTGATGGACTCACAGTTCCACATGGCTGGGGAGGCCTCACAATCAAGGCAGAAGATGAAGAAGGAGCAAAGCCACGTCTTACATGGTGGCAGGCAAGAGAGCATGTGCAGGGGAACTGCCCTTTATAAAACCATCAGATCTTGTGAGACTTATTCACTATCATGAGAACAGCATGGGAAAAATCCCTCCCCATGATTCAATTTATCTCCCACTGGGTCCCTCCCACAATGCATGGGTATTATGGAAGCTACAATTCAAAATGAGATTTGGGTCAGGACAATGCCAAACCATATTATTTCACCCCGGCCCCTTCCAAATCTCATGTCCTCACATTTCAAAACCAATCATGCCTTCCCAACAGTCCCCCAAAGTCTTCATTCATTTCAGCATTAACTCAAGAGTCCACAGTCTGAAATCTCATCTGAGACAAGGCAAGTCCCTTCTGTCTATGAACCTGTAAAATCAAAAGCAAATTAGTTACTTCCTAGATATAATGCAGGCACAGGAATTGGGTAAATACAGCCATTCCAAATGGGAGACATTGGCCATAACAAAGGGGCTACGGGCCTCACGCAAGTCCGAAATCCAGTGGAGCAGTCAAATATTAAAGCTCCGAAGTGATCTCCTTTGACTCCATATCTCACATCCAGGTCACACTGATGCAAGAGGTGGGTCCCCATGGTGGTGGGCAGCTCCATCCCTGTGGCTTTGCAGGGTACAGCCTCTCTTCCAGCTGCTTCCATGGGCTGATTTTGAAGGTCTGTGGCTTTTTCTCATGCACAGTGCAAGCTGTCAGTGAATCTACCATTCTGGGGTCTGCAGGAGAGTAGCCCTCTTCTCACAGCTCCACTAGGCAGTGCCCAAGTGGAGACACTGTGTGGGGGGTCCCACCCCACATTTCCCTTCTGCACCACCCTAGCAGAGGTTCTCTATGAAGGCTGTGCCCCTGCCTGCACATCCATGTGTTTTCATACATTCTCTGCAATCTAGGTGGAGGTTCCCAAACCTCAATCCTTGACTTCTCTGCACCTTCAAGCCCAACACCACATGTAAGCCACAGGCTTGGGGCTTGCACCCTCTGAAACAATGGCCTGAACTATACATTGGTCCCTTTTAGCCATGGTTGGGACACAGAGCACCAAGCCTTGAAACAGCACAAAGCAGCAAGGCCCCCATGAAACTATTTTTTCCTCCTAGGCTTCCCAGCTGGTGATGGGAGGCACTGCTGGGAAGACCTCTGACATGCTCTGGAGGCATTTTCTCCATTGTCTTGGCAGTTAACATTTGGCTGCTTATTACTTATGCAAATTTCTGCCACCAGCTTGAATTTCTCCTCAGAAAATGAGGTTTTTTTTCTTTTCTATTTCATCATCAGCCTGCAAATTTTTGAACTTTTATGCTCTGCTTCCCTTTTAAACATAAGCTCCAATTCCAAGCCATATCTTTGTGAATTAATAAAACTGAATGCTTTTAAGAGCACCCAAGTGATATCTTGAACTCTCTGCTGCTTAGAAATTTCTTCTGCCAGGTATCCTAAATCATTTCTCTCAAGTTCAAAGTTCCACAGATCTCTAGGGCGGGGCAAAATGCCACCAGTCTCTTTGCTAAAGCATATCAAGAATCACCTTTGCTCCAGTTCCCAATATGTTCCTCATCTCCATCTGAGACCATCTCAGCCTGGACTTTTTGGTCAAAACCATTTGACAAGTCTCCAGGAAGCTCCAAATTTTCTGACATATTCCCGTCTTCTTCAGAGCCCTCCAAACTGTTCCCACCTCTGCCCGTTACCCAGTTCCAAAGTCGCTTCCACATTTTCAGGTGTCTTAATAGCAGTAGCCCACTCTATTGATAACCATACCCCACTCTGTTGGTAAAAGCTATATTAGTCCATTTTTATGCAGCTATGAAATAGCTGGGTAATTTATAAAGAAAAAGAGGTTTAATGGACTCACAGTTCCACATGGCTGGGGGAGCTTCACAATCGTGGCAGAAGGTGAAGAAAGAGCAAAGCCACATCTTACACGGCGACAAGCAAGACAGCATGTGCAGGGGAACTGCCCTTTATAAAACCATCAGATCTTGTGAGAACTCACTTACTATCATGAGAACAGCATGGGAAAAAACCCACCCCCGTGATTCAATTACCTTCCACTGGGTCTCTCTCACAACATGTGGGGATTATGGGAGGTACCATTCAAGATGAGGTTTGGGTGGGGACACAGCCAAACCATATTAATTATATTTTGAATTTGAATGGACATATCTTCCAGTTATGTGTACTTCATCACTAGATATTATAAATATATCTCTAGTATATGTATCTTTTCTGTTTTCTTTGTATGCAAGTTTTTTTATATTTTAAATAGTCATTTTCTATTCTAAATAGTTATGAATATTAATAGTTGTGAATAGTCCAGTACACTTTTCCTGTTCCTTTTTTTCATGCTACATTTAGAGACTACCACAATTATGGCTTATGATTAACCAATGTTTTCTAATATTTGAGATAGTACTATGTGTTTCATTACTTGCAAGTTTTCTCTTCTCTTTTTGTTAAAAATTAATGTCATACTATAATAATATGTCAGGTGTATCTTGAATTCCTATTTTCGTTGGAGGAAGACTTAATTTTGAAATCCCCAAATCTCATTATTATTATTTTATTGTTATTATAAAACACTATTAAATCTTATGAATATTACTTCATTTTTCCTCATTTGAGAATATCATTAAGGTTTTTCCCTGCAGTCAATTTATTAGCTTTTATAAGCCCAAAGCATAAGCTTTGCAACTTAATTAGTAGAAACCTAACAACACAGTCATGAGCTAACACCAGGTATTATTTACTAAGGCAGAAAGCCCAAAGCCATTTATTTTCACACAAAACGAAAACTAGACCTAGAATTATTGTACACAAGGGTGTATTACTGAAGTCAGTAGTAGTTCCGTCATGTCTTTCATCCAAAGGACCTTAGTTTTATGGTTTTAGTATGTTCTAGTATGTTCTGCAAGTGATATCTCCTCTCAGATTTATTATTCAAGGAATTGATCACCTTTTATAAATTATAGTAATTTTTAAAATTCTATAAGTAAATGTAGTTAAGAGGTATTTTTATTATTACGTGTTATTAATGTTTAATTTCAAACTTTTTATCTTTTAGAGATGCTTAAAGTCTCATATAATTAAAACTATGTATTATTAATTATTTCTTTCTCTAGGTCTAAAATCCAAAAGCATTAATGTACTGATAAGAGACATAGTAAGAGAACAATTTAAAATTTTTCAAAATGACATGCAAGAGACTGTAGCACAGCTCTTCAAGACTGTATCAAGTCTATCAGAGGACCTCGAAAGCACCAGGCAAATAATTCAAAAAGTTAATGAATCTGTGGTTTCAATAGCAGCCCAGCAAAAGTTTGTTTTGGTGCAAGAGAATCGGCCCACTTTGACTGATATAGTGGAACTAAGGAATCACATTGTGAATGTAAGGCAAGAAATGACTCTTACATGTGAGAAGCCTATTAAAGAACTAGAAGTAAAGCAGACTCATTTAGAAGGTGCTCTAGAACAGGAACACTCAAGAAGCATTCTGTATTATGAATCCCTCAATAAAACTCTTTCTAAATTGAAGGAAGTACATGAGCAGCTTTTATCAACTGAACAGGTATCAGACCAGAAGAATGCTCCAGCTGCTGAGTCAGTTAGCAATAATGTCACTGAGTACATGTCTACTTTACATGAAAATATAAAGAAGCAGAGTTTGATGATGCTGCAAATGTTTGAAGATTTGCACATTCAAGAAAGCAAGATTAACAATCTCACCGTCTCTTTGGAGATGGAGAAAGAGTCTCTCAGAGGTGAATGTGAAGACATGTTATCCAAATGCAGAAATGATTTTAAATTTCAACTTAAGGACACAGAAGAGAATTTACATGTGTTAAATCAAACATTGGCTGAAGTTCTCTTTCCAATGGACAATAAGATGGACAAAATGAGTGAGCAACTAAATGATTTGACTTATGATATGGAGATCCTTCAACCCTTGCTTGAGCAGGGAGCATCACTCAGACAGACAATGACATATGAACAACCAAAGGAAGCAATAGTGATAAGGAAAAAGATAGAAAATCTGACTAGTGCTGTCAATAGTCTAAATTTTATTATCAAAGAACTTACAAAAAGACACAACTTACTTAGAAATGAAGTACAGGGTCGTGATGATGCCTTAGAAAGACGTATCAATGAATATGCCTTAGAAATGGAAGATGGCCTCAATAAGACAATGACTATTATAAATAATGCTATTGATTTCATTCAAGATAACTATGCCCTAAAAGAGACTTTAAGTACTATTAAGGATAATAGTGAGATCCATCATAAATGTACCTCCGATATGGAAACTATTTTGACATTTATTCCTCAGTTCCACCGTCTGAATGATTCTATTCAGACTTTGGTCAATGACAATCAGAGATATAACTTTGTTTTGCAAGTCGCCAAGACCCTTGCAGGTATTCCCAGAGATGAGAAACTAAATCAGTCCAACTTCCAAAAGATGTATCAAATGTTCAATGAAACCACTTCCCAAGTGAGAAAATACCAGCAAAATATGAGTCATTTGGAAGAAAAACTACTCTTAACTACCAAGATTTCCAAAAATTTTGAGACTCGGTTGCAAGACATTGAGTCTAAAGTTACCCAGACGCTCATACCTTATTATATTTCAGTTAAAAAAGGCAGTGTAGTTACAAATGAGAGAGATCAGGCTCTTCAACTGCAAGTATTAAATTCCAGATTTAAGGCGTTGGAAGCAAAATCTATCCATCTTTCAATTAACTTCTTTTCGCTTAACAAAACTCTCCACGAAGTTTTAACAATGTGTCACAATGCTTCTACAAGTGTGTCAGAACTGAATGCTACCATCCCTAAGTGGATAAAACATTCCCTGCCAGATATTCAACTTCTTCAGAAAGGTCTAACAGAATTTGTGGAACCAATAATTCAAATAAAAACTCAAGCTGCCCTATCTAATTTAACTTGTTGTATAGATCGATCGTTGCCTGGTAGTCTGGCAAATGTTGTCAAGTCTCAGAAGCAAGTAAAATCATTGCCAAAGAAAATTAACGCACTTAAGAAACCAACGGTAAATCTTACCACAGTCCTGATAGGCCGGACTCAAAGAAACACGGACAACATAATATATCCTGGTAAGCTGTTACTGAAAAGTAACTTTTAATCTCTCTTTTTACTTAAATGATATTTAATAGATCTGTACAGTTGAGCAAGACCATTAAACATAAAACTACATACTTGAACTTGGATAGATAGTCAAGTTGTGAAGATCACTGACATTATTTAAATCTGAATCTATCTTACAGTATTTCAGACATCAATACAAAACAAATATTTCTAGTGTATATTTGGCTATGTGTTTTTAAAATTTTTCTGACTAGACCTCTATAAAATAATTAAATTTGCTCCTATGGAACAATTTGCTTTGCACAAGTAATTAAACAAAGCTATTAGGCAAGGAGATCTTTAATAGACCAGATTTACTTATTTTGGCATTTTACCATATCTGATATGCAATAGGAACTCAGTAAATACCTGTTGAATGATCATCTGACAATGAATGTTCAGGAAATAGATTTGGGTAAATCATAGAAGGCCATCAATGCCAAGCTAAGTACTTAGACATGATTTTGTAAAGAGTAGGGTGTCTGAAAATTGGTATCAGTGGATTGGTTGTGATAAGAGCTGCAACTCAGAAGCATGAAGCTAGCAATAGTGTGTAGTGTGATTGCAGAGGTGATATTAGGGATGTTACTGAATGAATATTGGCAAGAGCCATAGAGGAAGCTCTAAGGCTGATGTGAGAAATGTTGGAAAGTTCCCATCAACAGAAACAGAGGGAGAGTGGCAAGAAAAATGATTTGAGGAACATCAAATCTTGATTCTGGTCCTAGATGTATTAGTAAGTTTCTGTGTTAGTTAATAGCACTAGGTAAAAAGTTCACCTCTCTAGGCCTTAGTTTCTTCCTTTTAAGTGATGAGATTGCAGTAGGTGATTTGCTGAGGTGCTTAGTAGAGATATGCCGAAGACTGCTTCACTGTAAAAAAATCCACGATCTGTTCACAGCCTTAATGCATGACACTTGGAGAAGAGAGAGATCTAGACTTTCCCGATGTTTTGAATTTGGGAAATGACAGAATAGTGGTACCATTAACAGATGTTCTAAACACCAAGGAAGAAGCATGTATTTGGGAAGAAAGAGGAATTGTGTGGTGCATATAAATTGCATAATAGTACCTCTGTATGAAGGAAGTGTTTTATGAATATGGTTGTCATATAAGT
Source organism: Homo sapiens (assembly GCF_000001405.40). Lineage (NCBI taxonomy): Eukaryota > Metazoa > Chordata > Mammalia > Primates > Hominidae > Homo > Homo sapiens. Next base: position 89,937,947 of record NC_000004.12, read on the forward strand.
AATATTGAATAATCTTTTCTAAATATGAATATCTCTTCATTCTTACAAAAAGTAATGGCTGTGTTTTTCTCATATGAGTCTGCTGTTAAATTATAGCCCATTTGTATGAATTTTGTACTTTATTTCTTTTTAATTACAAAGGATGATCATTATTCTAACATAATATGACTTCATATTTAATGTATGAATGTTTTGATAATATTAAAAATAACAGAATAATAGAGTTGAATTATCTCTACTATTTAAATTAGTATATTTATTTATGACTCCCCCAGAGTAATCTGACCTAATAGAACTAATTTTACTTCTGTAGGAACATAGAAGAAACTATTTAGACGTATATGTTTCCCAGAGAAAGGTAGTATCTCAATATAAGATGTTCTTAAAATAACAATTTTGGGAGATATAAGGAGTTGTTTTTTCCATACTATTTCCATTATTGGTCTTCATGTGGACACTTCATCATGATCTTCAATTAGCTATACAGCATGTGTGACCACACACCAGGCAAGCTATGTCATTTTTTAAACATATATATATATATATATATATATATATATATATATTTAAAATATATATATGCTATTTTCATAGTAAGTATAAAATTGAAATAGCCTCAAATAAATTGAGGAAAAACATTTATAGAACATTAAGAACTTGCAAACTTTGATAATATAATGAATGCATGTTAGGACATTATAAAAATTGTATCTAGATACTTATTGTGATTGACTCAATATTGGGCTTAATAGACTAATAATAGGAAATAACTCAGTTTTGATTCTTATTTTCCAATAAGGCTTTGATAACATTGCTTCCTGTTCCTTTATTTACTGACTGTAGAACTTTTTATGTTCCTGTCTACCAAAAATAACTATTAAAGTTCTTTATTTTATTTAAGCAAAGATACCAATAATGATGCCAAGGTAATAAAGATATACTGACCTAATTCCCACGTGCAAGGTAGATATTCCTTTTATGCCAGGCCGGGCCAGCAACATAATGTATGGGACCCTTTTAAGTGGTTGCATAGGTTTGCATGCCCATTAAGCCAGCCATACTTCCATGGGCCATAGAACAGATGTCAATCATTGGGCAGCTCAGCAGGCAAGGTCTATGAAAGATGATGAAACCAGTGGACTCAGGCTAAGTTCTCCTGTAAGAATAGAACAATTGCAGAATAAACTACTACTTTTGATACCCTGTTTTATACCAGGGGTGGGACACACTGTTTAAATTTGGCTGTTTCATTTCACCTTTGATATTGTATAAGTATTATACAGCCACATTGCTCTCCCACATAACTAAAGCCAGAAGATAATTTATCATCATCTTATGAATCTCAGAGTCATATTATTCAGATTCTAGCTGCCATCATTTGCAAAATAAGTACAGTATATAGAAAAAAGCATATAAATATAGTGTTTTAATCTTAATTTTAATAACTGATAACTTACTTTGAAGCCTGATAATATGAATACCGTAATAATACGACATTGGTTAGTATTCATTAACATTTACTATATCTCAGGCACTGTGAAAATTCCCAATATTCATAACTTCATTTAACAATACCTGTGAGGTAAGTATTATTATTTATTCTGAAGATGAGTAAACTGACCCTCGGAGACATTAACTAAAGTATCCTGCCTAAGGTCATTCAACTAGTAAGTGATAGAGCTTGGCTTCTGGCCAGCTAGACTCAGGGCTCAGTCCTCAACCACATGCTCAAAGAAATTATAGAGTGTGTTCACATGCCTTTCTCTTCTTTCTGTTTCTGTTTCATGCATCATATGTTCTTCAGTCTGGCCATATCTGAATATTCCATATGGCTGGAGCCGATATTTTTAGGGAGTTTCTTTTCTTGAAGATCCAAATACTGACAAGTTGTTTCTGCACATGAGGAAGTAGAGGTGCTACTTTTCAGTTTGGCTTTTTTGGGATATGGCCAGTGGGTACTTATTGAAAGTCACCATCAGATAGTCACAAGATCTTCCTTTGACTGACGAAGAAGAGGGACAAAATTCATTATTCTCATCCCTGCCACTTCCTTTTGAGCCATTCCTACATTCATTCATGCTATTTCTGATTCCTAGTAGGCCACTGATGATAAGATATTCTGGTTCAATTGCTAAATATTTGATTTGTTTCTAAACAATATTCTAATAGACACCAAGAGGTTTTTATTTCATCTTTGAAGATTTGTTTGTACAGCAATTGGCAGACTTATCCCTGCAGAGAGCTTTTGGCTGCTTGCCCTTCCAAAAGCAGCTGAATCCTGACTTAACACAATGTCAGCAGCTCACTGCTGAGCATGTGCACCTCCTGCTTGTAAAACCATTGGCTTTTTATTTCAACTTTTTCTCTAATGTTTATCAATTTAGCTCCCCTTCATAAACCTCTCTTATTAATAATTATTCCTGTACTCCCAAGAAAGATTACTTTCTATAAAACATTTGGTAGTGTTTTAAAATGTAATTTTAAAAATTATCATTGATGTGAATATATGCTATTTAAAAGAGAAAAAATGAGGACCTAGTGAATATTTAACTGTCTTATATCACATTGAAACCATTTCTAAATTTTGTGACTCTGCATAGAGGCAGCTGTGATGACTAATGAGCCCTGAATTTGGAATCAGGACACCAGGGTTCAAGTCCTGCCTGGCAATATATTTATTTGTAATAAGTCATTTATTTTTCTAGGCCTTTCTTTCCTCATTTATAAAATAAGAATAACATACAAACCTTATAAGTTTATTTTGAGAATCAAGAATATAATCTGCAGATAGTGTATTAAGTTATTACTATATGATGCAATTTTCTTAGCTATATTCAATGTATATGCTTTTATTTTCTCAACATTTTCACTTAATATTTGATATATAATTATTTCCATGCATCAACATAGTTTACAAACTTATAGCATCTCATTGTTACTTATTATTACTTTGATAATTCACTGTGTTTTAAACTCCGCATATGCTTATAACTTAGCTTATGGTCATCATGCAATGATAAATCAAAAAGAATAGGATACAAAATATAAAGACTGTGTAAAAACATGTGCATTGATAAGCACTGAAAATAAATGTCAAAGAATGGTTTTCTCCAAGCGATTTTCTACTATTTATATGATTTTCCATATTATAAAATATTTTCAAATATACCTCAAGATAACTAATAGGTTATCTTCTGTACAAAATGGCTGAATATAAGCCCGTTAAATTTTGAAAGCTATCTGCTTCAATTTAGAGTTTAGATGTGTTTTAGAAGTCCCCCAAATACGTGTACGCATTTGGTAATTCAATAGAAGTGCTCACAGGATCTGGCATATCCATAGTGTTCACATCTGTGGCTTATTATGGCAAAAAGTTCGTAACAGGATCAGCTAAGGAAAAAGATACAAGCAGAGTCTGGAGAAATTTAGGCACAGGATTTTTTATGTTTATCCCTCCCATGAAGGACAACATTTCTGTGTGCTCTTTTTTTCTAGTCACACACACATACACAAAATTAGTAACGTGTACATTAATTCTGCCCATACAAGCCCATCAGATACTCAGCACTTAGTTTTACTGGGGGCTGGTCACATAAGCATCCTCTGCCTAGGACATACCAAAACTCCATACTCTCAGAAGGGAAGCAGATATTCAGCATAAATCATATTGTTTGTACAAAGAGTCTGGGCATGGTGAATGACACTTACCAGTTAGGGAATGGAGAGAAGTCAAGTTCCCAGATGCTAACCAACTGCAAAATTTTCCAAGTAGGCCTTTCTAAAGATATCAGTCTCTGGCCTACTATGTTCACTCTTCTCTGCAGATTATCTTAAAGATATTCTTCATGTCAGAACTGGTTAGGAGGCCTGTCTGCTGGGGATGGCCTCCCCAATTTGTGTCAATAAAACATATCAGTGTTGAAGGAAATAGTAAATGAACTACTTTTTGTTCATGGCTCTCTGGGAGAAGAACAGACTCCCCCAGATTTCCATATGATTCCCTTCATATGGAAGAATGATGACAGCTAAAGAGCAAATGCTGACAAAATTGACAACCTTTTCTGTCACCTTGTCCTCAATAAAGTAGCCAGGCTATCTAAGGTGCATAGTCAGAAACCCAGACGTTTAATGATCACATTCTCTGAACCAAAATGTCTAACATTTGCTCTGACATGAAAAAGGAAATGGGATGGAATTCCAGGTTCCATTTACACAGTCACTGCATATGCTTGGGTTCTTTCCCAAGCAAAAATCACAGGAGCTACTTCCCAACAATAGACGATTTCTTTGACACCAAGGATTTGAAACGAAATTTGATTCTTAACTTGTCTGTAAATTAAATGCAATAAACATATATTTTTGTACTGGTCATTAACTATATTATGAATTTAAAATTGTACTCAATAGTATTATTTTGTAACTTATTGATTATCAAACATGAAAAGGAAGGTGGCAGGATTATTAAATTACAGATTGTAAATTTGCTATGGAATGATCTAAGTGAACATGATATTTTCATCCTGACAAAAATCACAGCATAGAAATAACAGCTGTGTAATATACTAACTGCATATGAAGTCTGAAAAACATACTTTAAGTTTTTAATTGCCAGTTTTACTATACATAGCTTAAAATGGGCTCTCCAAAGAAATAATTATTATTTTAGGATATAAACCTAATTTGAACTTTTTAATTCCAATTATGTTGACAGCATTGTTTTAGGGGAAAATATCACATGAAACTCCATTGATATCAATATTAATAAATCTAAACTCAAGTGTCTTTACCCTAAAATCAAATTACCAGTAAAATTATGACACAGTGTTTGGAGAAATAAAGCAATCAATGAAAAAAAATGATCGCATGTTGTGCCAGAATGATAAAAGTTCTAAACTACACTTATTTTTTTACTTTTTACAAAAAAGTAAACAATTGTTTTACAGTTAATGAACCTTCCTTTCAGAATTCTTTTCCAGACTTTATAATCTTAAACGAGTGTTAAGATTTGAAATTTGCGTGGAAATTTAGATTTGAGAGGTATTGGCATGAAAATGGTGTTTGGAAACTCTGGGTGTGGGTGAGCAGAGCCAGGGGACTCATGTAAGAGCAGAGTCAGAGGAAGAGCAACCTCTAAAGCTTAACTGGAGAGAGAGCAGTCTGGAGAGAATATCAAGAAGAAACAAAAGAGACAGGAGGATAAGCACATCTGATGTGGACGTTAGCATATGATTGCATTTTCCAGGCCTGCCAAAATAAATTGGAAGTTATAAAAAATACTTACTATCCCAAATCATCATCTGAATAATAATGAGACATCAACACTACCTTTTATATATAACCTAAATTCGGTGACTTTATTGTCAACTAAGAAACTGCTTGTACACAATCATGTGTACGTGTATTTAGTCATTTACTTGAATAGGAAATTTGTTTGAAAATGTGAAATTGCAGATTTACCTCAAGAGGATCTTTGTAAAACACTTTCCTAGATGGATGCTACAATAAAGACAAGATAATTTCTATTATTCATGGTTATATTAGCTTAAAATGTTGTGCTAAAACTTCTTAAAGCAGTTTTTGTTTTAGGACCCAAATGAATTATTTTTAGAATTATGAGTATTATTGGAAAGTTATAATGATTCTTAATTTTCCAACTTGATTCAACAAATATTACGTAAGTCCTAAGTGGGATCAAGTTAGAAAGCAAGGCTCTGGCTCAGAAAGCTTTGTAATTTTTTGTTCTAGAAGAATTTGATAGTGAGGCTGGGAGCGGTGGCTCACCACTGTAATCCCAACACTTTGGGAGGCTAAGGTGTGCAGATCACTTAAGGCCAAGAGTTCGAGACCAGCCTGGCCAACCTGGCGAAACCCCATCTCTAATAAAAATACAAAAATTAGCCAGGTGTAGTGGCACGTGCCCAACTACTAGGGAGGCTGAGGCAGGAGAATATCTTGAACCCAGGAGGAGGAGGTTGCAGTGAGCCGAGATCATGCCACTGCACTCCAGCTTGGGCAGCAGAGCGAGACTCTGTCTCAAAAAAAAAAAAATGATAGTGAAAGATATACCTATAGAGCAGTGCAATGTTCTGTTATATTTTATACTTTTTTTGATATTTTGGTATGTGCATAAGAATACCATGTTATTATGAAGCTATTTTGAATGTGAAAGAAAAGAAACAACATACCACAGCATATTCTAACTATTTATCTAACTTGTATTCAATTTTTGACTTTTGTACATTTTAATTTTTTTCTCTATTTTAAATAGTGCCACACTAATTAATTTTTGTGACCATCTCTAATCTTATTTCCTTAAGATAACATCCAAGAAGTAAAATTACTGGTGCAAAGCCCATGCACATTTTGAAAGAATTTGATAAATATTGCCAAGTTTCTCTTCAGAGAGTATCAATTTACGCTCCCTTGAGCAACTTATGAAAGGGCCAAGTGTTATACCTGTGTGCACATATATACACATGGGCACGTTAACTTTGCCCAAAAAGTTTGTCCAAAAAATTAAAAAATATTTAAATATGAGACTTTTAACAGACAATGATGACACTATGGATATCTTTTATTTTTATCATTTTAATAGGCGTGCAGTTATATCTCATTGTAATTAGGGAAGCAGATTTCACAGCTATATGGATGAGGGTTGTTTAGAGGCAGGCAAAGCGATGTTAAGACGGCTATAATCATCTAGATATGAGAAAATGAGAGCATCAATTAGAAAAGTTAATGGGGATGGAATGGAAATCAAAGAGCAGGGAGATTACTTTTGAGAAGTTACATTTGGTAAAATAATAAGTTTTATAGACAACAAAGAAGGTGGGATGATGAACTACAATATTCTTAGTGATTTTGAAATCCAAGGTAGGAAATTAAGGGACTTGAAACAACGCGAGTTTATTTGTTTGTGGTATAACTTACATTTAGTTAAATGTACTAATGTTGATAGATAGCCTATGAGTTTTGACAAATACATAGTCGTATAACCTTCACCATAATCAAGATAGGGATCAGTTCCATCACCACCCCAAATTTCCTCATGCACCTTTGTAGTCAAACCTGTTCCTACTACCAAGCACTAGCAACCAGTGATCTGTTTTCTTCCCAGACAATTCTATTTTTTCCAGAATATGTAAGAAACAAACTCATACAATATGTGGAGGCTTTGGAGTCTGGCTTCTTTCACTTCATGTAACATATCTGAGATTCATCCATGTTCTTGCATGTATTCATTTTTATTCATAAGTAGTGTATAGTATAAATATACAATTTCTTTATCTATTTACCAGTTGAAGGATCTTTTTTTGGTTGTTTCCAGTCTGGGGTTACTGTGGATAAAGCTGCTATAAACATTCACATACAGGTTTTTGTATGAATGTCAGTTTTTGTTTCTCTCTTATAATTATACAGCAGTAGCATAGTTTGGTTATAAGATACATAGTTTTAACTTTAGAAGGAATGACTAACCACTTGGCATTTCCATGAATAATATATGAGAATTCTAATTGCTCCAAATTTTTGCCAGCACTTGACATTGTCAATATCTTTCATGTTATTTTAGTAGGTACATAGTTATATCTCACTGTGGTTTTGTTTTGCATTTTCCTAGTGACTAGGAACACTGAACATATTTTAATGTATTGGTCAGACAATGTTTTTAATTCTTCTCTTGATTGATGGTTATAACTCTAAAGAAAAAGGATAAATCAGTTCACGATATCAAACAAAAACATTTAATTTCCTAGGTCACAGCTTAAGATAACAAAATAATAGCAAGGGATAAAGTAAATCCTTTCGGACAGGTCTAAGATATTTGCTGAAGATTGCTGATACAACTAAATGTGCCTTAAAGTAATATATGAAGGGTTGAGGAAAAAAGATCCCAGAAAACAATATAAGAAACAATTGGTGTGATATAAAAAGAATACCAAAAATAAAAACTGACAGTTTGAAGGAAAAGCAGTAAACATGGTTTGAAACAGTATTTCCATCCATCTATACACCAAAGAACACAATGTTAGTAATTAGAGCAATGCATTTGAAAACTTAATAAAAACAAATAAATGTTAGTATTCCTAGAAGTTGCTGGCAATGGGCATATGAAATATTTCTAGAGCAACAGGAAGATAAGCCTTATTTGATATAAACAGTTTTGACAAATGGGGAAGCATAATAGCACTGAAACTTAAGAATGTGTCCATTAATATGGAAATGAAAACATTTTACAGAGCATTGGAATCAGGATGAAACATAAAGAAAAGTGCAAATGTTGTGTGGGCATGTTACCTAGGAGCAGATTTGTGTAATGCTTTCATCTGTGTATTATAAAATGGGAGGACAGGCAAAACGATAAGTTCCCTCGCTAATCTCTTGGAAACTCCATTGTGTCCTAGCAGAGATCAGTTATCTGCCCTCTACAATGTTACTGTTTACATGAAGAAATTAAGATTTTGATGCTAAAGTAGAAGTAAGCAATAAAATATAAAGTAAAATTAAAATAAAAGTATATGATAGATAACATTATATGTAATAGAAATAAATGTAAGAATACAGTAGAAATCATCAACACAATGTATCCCTTTATTCATCAAATTCCTGTTGAATGAGTTCTGAATGAGCACTGAGGAAAGTTGAGTGAATAGAGCGGTAAACTCAACACAGCCCCTCTTCTCATGAAGTTCATACATTAATCGAGTAATTATAATAAAAAATGACAAATATTAGGAATGACAGGGTGCTTTGAAAATGCAAGGTGCTCTCCAATTAGTTCAAATATGTACATTTATGAAATATGAAACTAGGATTAATAGAAAATTGTAACTAGAGCACATATTAGGGTCCAGAAAGCAAAGACCAGAATAAATTGAAATTTATAAATGAAATATCAGTTATGCTACTTGCACAGTGGTAGAATGTTGACTTGGAAGAACTATTGAACTAATTGCACTGATCTCCATTAAAAAAAATGGACAGGAAGGAGTTTAAGAGGTTATTGAAGCTCAAGGTAAGGGGAGAAGTTGTGGAAAGTTCGCTTAAATGGATTCACTTCTGGGCACAGTGGCTCACACTGTAATCCCACATTTTGGGAGGCCAAGGCAGGTGGATCACCTGAGGTTGGAAGTTTGAGACCAGCTTGGCCCACACGGTGAAACCCCGTCTCTGCTAAAAATACAAAAAATAGCCTGGCATGGTGGTGCACACCTGTAGTCCCAGCTACTTGGGAGGCTGAGGCAGGAGAATAGCTTAAGTCCAGGAGGCAGAGGTTGCAGTGAGCCAAGATCATGCTACTGCACTCCAGCCTGGACGACAGAGCGAGACTCCATCTCAAAAATAAAACAAATAAATAAATAAATAGATTCATGTCTCTAGGATAACATGACAATGATAGCATAGTGTCAAACTCTGTGACATTTGAGAAACTGGGAAGAAGGTTGAAATTTGATAAGAATGTGGTATTCTATTCCATCTTTTATTAATTTGTCTATTCATTTTTAAAACTACTTTAGTATTTTCTATATGTCAGGCACTGTGCTAATAAGGTTGATATGAAGTTTAAGTCATAGAGAACATGATCCCTGACCTCATGAAAGCTCATACTCTTGTTGGAAGTAAGAAAGACACCAAAGCAATTACAGTTGAGTGTGATGAATTCAAGAAGACAACTTTGGAGCATCAGGCAGCAATGGAGAGAACTAAAGTGATTTACTCCTAGGGATGAGGAAAGATGTCATAAAGAAAATGATGCTTTATTGGAGTTTGATTTTTGTTGGTAATTCAAGAACAAGTAGCCTATTAAGCACAAATATGAGCAGGTACTTATAAAGGTACCTAACCATTTTTTAAGCGTTTTAATAATAAAGGAGAAAAATAAGTCAGGTGGTGTACAAAAGTTGATTTTGTTTTGTTTTGTTTTTTGAGATAGAGTCTCACTCCGTCGCCCAGGCTGGAGTGCAGTGGCGTGACCCTGGCTCACTGCAACCTCCGCCTCCTGGGTTCAAGTAATTCTCCTGCCTCAGCCTCCGGAGTAGCTGGGATTACAGGCACACACCACCACACCCAGCTAATTTTGTATTTTTAGTAGAGATGGGGTTTCACCATGTTAGCCAGGCTGATCTCAAACTCCCGACCTCAGGTGATCTGCCCGCCTCAGCCTCCCAAAGTGCTAGGATTACAGGCGTGAGCCACCGTACCCAGCCAAAAGTTGATTTCTAACTCATTGTATAACAAAGTACAAATAGCTTCAGTTGGAAAATCAGTGCCATTCAATCTTTAGTTGTCTGTTATAAGGCTCTGTACTTGTCACTAATCCATCAGGTATTTTTTTTCTAGTACGTATTTTTATCGATAACTTGGAGGAACGCATGAGACATAAATTTGGAAATGATAACAAAGATAGGGGAGGGTGGCTGAAACATCTATACAGAATAAAACTGAATGCTTTCTATGGACAGAGATGGTAACTCATGTCTAATAAGATAAATTTTATTATCAATAATAATTGTAAATTCATGTTTAAATGAATTAAATAGACATGAGATTTTAGAAAGCTTCAATACATCAGAGCACAGGAGACCTGTTATGAGACAGTGTGATACAGATGCAGAAATAGACAATGAATACTTAATGCTTGTGTTATCTTGACAGAAGTGTAAGTTCATTTCAGCAGGGGTAACTAGCAATTGCTACCATAACCTACTATGCTTGGGCTCAACTGGTACAATATGTCCAGTTCTGGGTGCCATGGACATGATTTTATATTTTAAAATGTGATTATTTTGGCAGAGACTTGGAAAGTCCAGACATACCTAAAATAGCAAAAAGAGGCACAGAAAGGAACTTAAAACAGAAGCAGTCGAAGCAGGTACAGACAAGTGGCTGAGGCATCCTGAGCAGATAATCAGTAGGCACCATGAAAGATGTCCTAGAAGGCAAGCTGTGTGCAGTCTCAAGAAGTTTGGGCTACTGTAACAGTAGTAGTAGATGCAGACCTTCAATTAAACTTAAGTGTAGCCCTACTCCAGATGAATGACCCTAAAAAGAAATTGGAAAATGGGGTAAAATAGCACCCTCTGAAATGACTCAAAGAACTACAGCAAGGCAAGACCCAATTCCTAAAGTAATGGAACATAAAGAAGCAAAAAATGGAATGCTGCTCCTGGACATTAAATAGCAGGCAGAATCCTTGATCCTGAAGATTCAGAGTAGAGCCAACAGCAATGCAGATAAATCTAATTTTTTCCACAGTTTCTTAAGTTCTCCTTATAGCACAGCTTTGATCCCTGATTCATGAACAGGGCCAAGGTTACAGGTGACTGTGATTTTTTATATTTGGGAAAATTAAAATTATAGAGCTGATCAAATTACATAAATAAGTTAGTGTTCCCCCCAACTCTACTGCACAATTGATACATTCCTAGTGAAACCCATTAATTGAAACTTCTCCTGTGAGTTGATCACTGTGCTAAATTCAGAGAATGTAAAAATAAATGAAGCAAATGCTTTGATACAGAATATTCACATTACTATAAGTAATGAAAAGTCATTGATGTTTTTAATGCAGGAAAATAATGGGCAAAGTTCTGGAATGTTAATGAGCAGCAAAAAAGGGATTTGATAATCTATTCACATGCAGCAAAGTGAGGTTAAAGGAATGTTAGCCAGTCGAAATATTTGTTAAAAGGTATTACACACATGTAATATTTTAATACTTTTCTTAATAAGGAAAATAGTTTATAGAATATTGCAGAGAATATATCAAGATAATTCTGATTAATTTCTCATTACATAAGTACAATATTAATATATTTGCTTTGCAAAAAATTTTAATAATACAGGCATGCCGTTTGTTCACATTTTATGTGAATTTCAATTGTATGGCTATGAAACAAAATGTATATAAAAATTTATAGGTCTCACTTCATGAGAAAAATATTACACAAAACAAATAACTTCCAAATTAAAAATCATCAACAATCACCTGGTTTGAAATGAGTGGATGGTAAACTACATCATTACCATAAGGTGGCACCAGAGTAACTGTGGCAAGTAGTATAAGCGCTGAATTCTTCTGACCTTGTTTCTGCATTTACATAATTATGCATTATGTTTATAACCATATTCATAATTTGAAGCTTTCACAACAAATGAAATTATTCTATATGTAATGTGTGAGCTGTAACTTTCTGTCTTCAGTAAACCAAACCTGTTGGAGAATCTACCTCATTCTTTAATTGCTGTCTAATATTCCTCAGTGGGAATATGTTACAATTTATTTAACAAGTCCTGCATCAGTGATCATTTAGGAGTCTTTAAATTTTTCAAGAATGCAAGTGATATCATTTTGAATTGAAGAATTGTCTTTGTGCACATGGACAAGTATGTCTGGAGTATATATATACTGCCAGAAGAAATGTTTGGCTCAAAGTAAATTAACCTTTTTAATACTGATAAATATCGTCACATTGTCCTATTAACAGCTATAGCAGTTTACACTCCAGCCAGCATTGCATGAAAAGGCCCATTTTCCCTTATATTGACATGACTGGATATTTTCTACGTATCTTTTTAAATGTTGCCACCTTATATTTAAATAATGTTATTATTGCTAAATTTATTATTTCTGAATTAGTAATGAGGTTGCATATGCTTTAAAACTTTTAGTGACCTTTTGTGGGTTTTGTTCAATGATTTGCCTACTGATACATTCTCCGTTTTTTAACTTATTTTTTTCTGATCTGTAAGTGAAGACCATTTTCTTATTTTTATTTATTTTTTATTTAAAAAATTAGAGATGGGGTATCACTATGCTGCTCAGGCTGGTCTCAAACACCTGGACTCAAGCCATCCTCTTGCCTTGGCCTCCTGAAGTGGTGGGGTTACAGGTGTGAGCCACCATACCCGGCCTCATTTTCCATTTTTAAGGGAGAATTTTTTTTTTCTTTTCAGAGTTTTTCATATGTTATGAATATTAGTCATTAGATTGCCATGTCTTCTAATTTTGTAACTTATCATTAAACTTTGAAAATGGTGGTTTTCAATGCAAATGAGTTTTAATTCTTAGGTCAAACATGATAATGTTTTTCTCTTATGGTTTCTGAGTTTTGTTTTCCTTTGCTTTGCTTTGTTTTGCTTTGAAAGAATTTTTTAAAATTTTAAAGCTCTAGAAAGATATTCTCCTTTTTTGTTGTAATGCAATCATATTGGTTTTTTTATATTTAGTATTTTTGTATATGTGGAATTTATGTTTCTAATATATATTCAATACCACCTTAGCACCATGTATCGAACAGATATTTTTCTTCTCAGTGATTTAAAGCATTACCTTTATCAAGTACCAGTTTCAAATATACATGATTTGTATTGAGATAATTCTATTCTGTTCTGCAGTTGACAAGAATGTTAACATTTCACACCAATAAATGTAATGGATCACAGAATTTTGCCCACTTTACTGAAGGAGATAGAGAGATCAGAGCTAAGGGATTTGCATGACGTCCTGTGCCCAGATCGACAGGCATCCTGGGCCGTGGAGCCCATTTTTCTTACTTAAAATTCAGTCTTTTTCCTATTCTGCTGCAAACTACGATTTGAGATCAACAGGAAAATAGGTCACTTTATTCTCTTTTACCTTGATTCTTTTTCCGTAACAGAGGAGTATTCAAGCTGTAGTCGGCATCCGTGCCAAAATGGGGGCACGTGCATAAATGGAAGAACTAGCTTTACCTGTGCCTGCAGACATCCTTTTACTGGTGACAACTGCACTATCAAGCTTGTGGAAGAAAATGCTTTAGCTCCAGGTAAAAAAAAAGTATACGCATCTTTGGATTTGCTCATTGTCATAAATAGAAACACGTTTTGAAAATATTTATTAATGAATATTTAAGCCTGCTTAATCTGGATCCACTTGACAATTCCTTTTACTTTTTCGAAACTTACTGAAGAATGTACCTGATTTACAAGTGGAAATGTCCTTTTGTTAGGCAAATTCTTATTCACATGCACCTGTTGAAATTTTCAATATTGCTATATAGAGGCAGTTTATGGAAAATTCTACCCCCTCACAAACTTTTTTTCTCTTGTGCATCCTAAAAATATATGGATGTATATATCTGACTGATAGAAACACTTTCTCCTCAAACAAGCAGTTAAAGAAATACGCCTTTGATTTATGTCTGGTATGGTCATTTAAATGAGGCTTTAATACATGCTTAGTAACACGTTTTCTGTGAAGGTTAAACTAATGGCACCATTTTGACTGTGTGAGAACTGTTAGAACATGCTCAAATGTATTAAGTAAAACAAGATGGCTTTTTTATTTATTTAAATTCATAAGTATTGGTGCTTTGGATTTACTTCAGGAGTGCACCATTTCTGATTTTTATACAGAAATGTATGTGCAGCATAAAAATGTGTTATTTAATGACTGCAAAAAAACCTATTTCAAATCAGCTTTTTCTTAATAATATCCTGCATAGTGAAATGTAAATTTTTTAGTCTGTTTTTAGATCTCAGCCTTTGTAAGTACAATTGGCATTAATTACACAGAAAATTGCCTTTGTCTACTTTGCTGCAGTGAATATGACTTTATATGGTTTTCGTTTTAGCCTTTAGAAACTGCTTGACAAGGTGCCGGAAAAATTGTTTCTACATCATGTCAGCTTCAATTCCTGCAAGGGGCTTTAAAACATTCTGACATAACCATAATAATCATAGAGTGCTTTGAATTCCTTTATCTCTGGGGAGATCAAAGCAACATGCAAATTATCTTTGAGGCATTTCTGTGAGGAAGGTATCAAATGTTATTTTTATTCTGTCCTGATCTAAATGGAGAAACTGAGGCAACAAGAGGCTAAGCAATTTAGAGTAATTTACCCCAGAGAAGAGACAGGCATTGAGACACGTGCACCTTTGCTAAGTTTGATGGATGGCCTTTCTCTTCTGCTAAGACTTTTTGTAACTGAGATAAAAATGACGAAGATATAAGGAAAGAAAAATAAGATAAAAACATGAAAATTAACTCTTGCCATTTTTTCCTCTAACAGATTTTTCCAAAGGATCTTACAGATATGCACCCATGGTGGCATTTTTTGCATCTCATACGTATGGAATGACTATACCTGGTCCTATCCTGTTTAATAACTTGGATGTCAATTATGGAGCTTCATATACCCCAAGAACTGGAAAATTTAGAATTCCGTATCTTGGAGTATATGTTTTCAAGTACACCATCGAGTCATTTAGTGCTCATATTTCTGGATTTTTAGTGGTTGATGGAATAGACAAGCTTGCATTTGAGTCTGAAAATATTAACAGTGAAATACACTGTGATAGGGTTTTAACTGGGGATGCCTTATTAGAATTAAATTATGGGCAGGAAGTCTGGTTACGACTTGCAAAAGGAACAATTCCAGCCAAGTTTCCCCCTGTTACTACATTTAGTGGCTATTTATTATATCGTACATAAGTTAGTATGAAAAACAGACTAT
Source organism: Homo sapiens (assembly GCF_000001405.40). Taxonomy (NCBI): domain Eukaryota; kingdom Metazoa; phylum Chordata; class Mammalia; order Primates; family Hominidae; genus Homo; species Homo sapiens. The sequence continues at coordinate 89,953,441 of NC_000004.12, forward strand.
CACCTTTATTGAGAAACAGCCAGTGTTTTCATTTATCTTTGCTTGCACATCTGCTCTGTTTTGGTTTTTCTACAGGAAATGAAAATCAACTTGTTTTTTTAATATGAGTAAACTTGTATGTCTATTTTATAAAATTATTTGAATATTGTTTAATGTCTGAATATGAAAGAGTTCTTGATCCTAAAGAAATTTAGTGGCACAGAAAACAAAGTGAATTTGTTAGCATAATTATTCCTATTCTTATTTCTTCATTTTAAGTCATTGCAATGGAAAGTAATATTATAAAATGGTAATTACAACATATTATCAGTCACAGTTTTCTTTCCAATTAAACACTTAACTTTTGTTATTCCCTGTATATAAATATATAACACACATTTTCTAGATTCACAAATTTAAATAAATTACTCAAAAAATGAAAATTGATTTTGTAAACTTTTATTTTTACTCTTTACGTTGAGTTGATCAATTTTCCATACTAAGATTTTCATTCAGAATCAAAATTAAGAAAGTTGGACTGAAAATATGAAAAATGCTTAACTATTGTTCTCTTCCTATAATTCTCTAATTATAACATAGTAATTTACATGTAGTTGGACATGTACACTCAAGTCTAAGAATATATGAGTGGATCATTTACCGCCCCCCGCCCCACAACATCTATAAGGGGCAAAAAGTCTTTTTCTAATAAGTATTCTTCTATGGTAGTACCTACAGATCTGCCCTTCTTCTTCTAAAGGGTAAGTCATAATCTGTGTAATACTACAATTTATGGGATGCTCACTATGCCCTGTTTCTCTTCTAAACAATTTACATGTAATGTCTCATTCCTCACAATAACCCTTGTAAAGTGGGCATGATTACCATGATTTTTATAGTTGAAGAACCTAAGACACAGAGACCAAGGCCCATGAGCTCATAGGGCTGAGGCAGGATTTGGAATCAGGCCATGTCTTCTCCAGAGCCCACATCCATCCTTTCTCTATATTGCCTCCCACAGATGTGCTAAAATTTATTTAACTAATCCTTTATCCTCTATTTGTGTTGTCTCCCATTTTTTATTATTACAATATTACTGTGGTGAACATGCTTAAAAATACATTCCTTGGATATCTGACAACGTGTTTCTGAAAAACAGATTTTCATAAGTAATAATAAAAATAATAATAAAAAAGTTTTGGTATGGTAAGCCTTTTTTATGAATTGATTTGTTTAATGATCACTATAACATAATGAATTACATATTAACCTATGATATTTGTACTACATATTATTACTCTCTTTCTGCCCATGAGAATCAGAAGCACATAGAAGTTAAATAATTTTCTCAGTAGTATAACCAATGATGGAGAATTTCTGGGACAAAGGATGATCATAATTTTCCATTTCGATGGGTACTAACAATCTAAGTCTATGAAAAACTGCTCTTTATACCCCACACATCCTCATCAAAATTAACAATTTTTGAAATATTTCCAGTCCTGAAAGTGAATATCTTCTATTTGTAGAAGATACTTGAAAATTTTTCAAATTTGCTAAAACTTGAAAGCATACATCCATACAAAGACTTGTAAGTAAATGTTCATAGTCAGTTTATTTGTAATAGCTGAAAACTGGGAATCACCCGCATGTCCCGCGACAGACAAAGGGTTACGCAAACTTTCGCATACAAATACAATAGAGTACAACACCTGGGAATTTCACAATAACTATGCAGAAGATTTTAAACTGCAGTCTAACAAACTTTGTCACCTCTGCAAGGAGGAACTCTAAAGTAAGTATTGTCCATCAGAATGTCCTGCGCTGAGTCAAAATAATCAGGCCTTCATACCCTAGCCTCACTCAGTACTAGATTCAGGCTGCCAAAGAAGAGTGTGACCTAAGAGTTAAAACCGACAGCTGGATGCATTAGTCCATCCTCGCATTGCTATAAAGAACTACCCAAGACTGGGTAACTTATTAAGAAAAGAGGTTTAATTAACTCACATTTCCACAGGCTGTATAGGAAACATGGCCCGGAAGGCCTCATGAAACTTATAACCACAGCAGAAGGTGAAGGGGAAGCAGGCACGTCTTACGTGGCTGGGGGAGGTGGAAGGGGGAGAGGTAGGAGGTGCCACATACATTTAAACAATCAGATCTCGTGTGAACTCACTATCAGGAGAGTAGCTGGGGGGAAATTCACCCCCATGGTCCAGTCAAATCCCACCAGGCCCCTCCTCCAACACTGGGGATTATAATTCGATATGAGATTTTCGTGGGGACACAAATTCAAACATATCACTGAATGATGACAATTTTTATCCTGTTATGTGTAAACATGTCATTTTCAAAAACATTTAAAAAGTTCTTATGATATCTTCAGTCCCTGCCTAAAAATTTACTATAATCTAAATTTTTAAAATTTTATTTCTTCAAGGACTCACAGATTAAAATACAATTTTTGCTTTCCAAATATACTTTTCAACATAGATTTCAGTGATTTCATTATATTGTTTTTCTTTACTGTTACCAGAACAGAAGGAAGTAAATCATTTGACAATGTTCATCATTGCATTGTCCAATATAATTTATTGATTTTTAATTAGATAATAACATTTAGCATTAAATAATGCTTTGGTGTTTGGAAATATAATTATTAATAATAGTCTTTATTTTTATATGGATTCATAGAATATACAATTAAATAACAAATTGCCACCAATAGCCAAGAGGCATTATAGCAACTTTTAAGTTGCTGTGAACTTGCTTGGCTATATTTTTAAAGCCACTCAATATAATCAAAGATAATTTAGTATTGTATTTTTAATGGTCATCTTCAAACTTATTCATGTAGAAAAAAATATAGCACTGGAACGTTTCTTTATTTCTTCTATGGACATAGCCAAGTACCTTGAATATTATTTTGTAGATTCAATTTCAGAGCCCTTCTCTCTCACAATATCTTCCTGCCACACCAGCTCCCAAAGTACATCAGGTCACTAATTACTGATGAAAATCTCAAATCCATTCATTTATTACTTAATAAGTAGCTAATTATTATACCTAATTGAAGGTACATAATATAGGAGGCATGTTAAATTATATATAACAAATAATAAAAAGTATATAAAGTAAATCAGTACAGACAAATGTTGCATTTGAAATACATAATCCGGGGTCATGATGGCATTTACTACCACCAGAATCATGGATAGCTCTGTAAGAATGAGAAATTTATCTTCAATAACCACCGGTCTCTTTTTTTTTTTTTTTTCTTTGCACTATTGACCAATCTTCTATTACCTCCTTTTGTATCATTCCCAGAATTGAGAGACTTCCCATACAAAGCCATAAGTGTCTACAATTGCTCTTTCTTACTCATTTCACCAGTTAAAATTCTCAATTTGGAAGAATAAGCTATTATTAGTTAATCATTAAGAAATGATTAAAATAAGCCATCCTAATTTTCATTTGGCTTGGTTTTTAGTGCACATAGAGATAATTTTTTGGTTGTTGTTCATCTGTTTCAAAATATAAATTTATTAACTCACATTGGAAACCTCGTGAGCCATACATAGTATATGTCTTCAACAAAGATAATTTTCAATGTAGCAAAATTTTTCTCATTATTCAAAATTTTTTCTATCATTTATCATTGCAAGGCACCTGTGGGATACATTAAAGCAAAAATATAGGCCTGCCCTTCCTAGAGTGTACAATTTAGCTGAGTTGCTCTCCTGTGTGGAAGGAAGGGATGTTTGCTTATTTCCTGTCCCGGTGATTTCAAACCGAGGGTTTCATCAACAGCCTGGGGAGTGTTATTAAGAACCTTCCCTTCAGTGCTTTTACCACAGCTCAGTGAGAATTCTCAATGAGCTATACTGCATTTGTGTTCAGAGAAAACAACAATAAAGTAGTATTTATTTCTCTGGGCTGACATCCTAATTACATAATCTAAAACTCTGGGAAAAGTCCAAATTTTGGAGTTTTTATTATATTTACTCATGAATTGCTTCATCAACTTTCAAAGCCAGGGCTTTAGTCAAAACACTTTTCAGATTCCAACTATTTAAGTTAGCTTAGGCTGCCACAACAAAGTTCCATAGTCTGGGTGGCTTAAACAACAGACATTTATTTCTCACAGTTCTGAGAGCTGACAATTCCAAGATCAAGGTGCCAGCAGATTTGGTGTCTCTAGTGAGGTCCCTTTTCCTGGCTTATACAAGGCAAAAGGCTGCCTTCTCATTGTGTCTTCACATGCAGAGAGAGAAAGAGAGGAAGACAGAGTGAAAGAGGGAGAGAGAGGAGCATGAGGGCGGAGAGCACATGAATGCTCTGGTCTCTTCCTTCTTTTAAAGACACTAATCCCTGGTCGGGGCCCATCATGGGGCCCCACCCTCATGACCTCATCTAAACCTAATTAACTCCCAAAACCCCACCTCCAAATACCATCACATTTGGGGTTAGAGCTTCAACATATACATTTGAGGCAGGGAGGGGGCACAAAGATGCAGTGTATAGTACCAAGTGTTGAATGTAGTGATATTTAGGATGGTGTTTTAAAACATTCTTTGCATAGATTTTAAAATATCAGTCTATAGTAGATCCTAGTTGTAACATGATTTCCTATTAGATTCAAATAAACATTTATATCAAGCCCACTGAAGATAACAGTGAAAGTGCTACGTAACATTGTCTTAAAGTTGGTGTTTTTTTCAACATATTATTTGGATTCAAATATTTATTTGGATTTCCTATTTTTTTGATTCATACTAATAATTATATCTACTCAAGTTAACAGTGAAAATAGTACATGATGCAACCCAAGGAACAGGTGTTCTTATAAATACCACTTTACTCTCCTAACTTGAAGCCACTGATAAAGAAAGAAATTGACTCACTGAATTCCTCTTACCAGGATACAGACGATTATGGATAGTTTCTGTTATTTTTGTAATTTACTTCCCCTCATTTATGTTTGCTGCCACTATCATCTTCAAAATATGTAATTACGCATAATATATATAAACAGAACCACACGTACATTTCTTTATTGGTATGAAATCTATGGATTAAGGATGATAGTAATTTGCCAGAAAATATATGTAGGAAAAATACATTTATTTGTGCTTCCAAACCCTTTCTAAAAGCGATTTAAGGTGACTAGATGTATAATTTGTGTGGAGAAAAGTACTAAAGTTATACAAAGACATTTAGTTGCTATTTACATATCAAATATATCTCAAGAATATGGTCTTTCCTTATCCTAATTTCTTAGGTATATTCACATGCATTAATTTTTATGATTTGTCATAGAGTAACCTTGCTATTAACAAAAAATAACCTACAAAGATTCCTCCCACAGTCTCAAACCCTCCTTCAATTCTCTACTCTACCTTTTTGCCTACCATCATAGCTTTGCTATTTTAATGAATATATTTAGGTTTCTTTATTCCAGCTGAAGAGAAAGCTAAATAGTGTAGAAGTTATTCTGTAGATGAAATTCAAAGACCCTCCAGAGATTGCATGTCTTTTTAATGTGACTTTTACTGCCCTTTCTGAATCTTGTCATTAAATCCCTTGAATCTTGATTCTATTTCATATATTAATTCTATTTCCTTTAAATGGTCAGCAGACTGACAGATCATCAGTGAGTTTTCCTCTATCACAGATCTCTGTTAACAGTAAGTTATGTAATCTACCCCATGCAATGAAGGGCAGAATAAACAAAGGTGGAGGGAAGAATAAACAAATTGCATTTCTGTATAATTGTGGCTTCTTTCTTTCCATGTGTACACTCAAAGGAGAACATCTGTTTGAGAAAAAGAAGCCATCATTATTATCAACAGCACACCTACATGCGCTAAAGGCATTCTTGGGTATCACAAAAGAACCTTTAAATTTAAGAAATACATTGTAGGTATCATTGGAACAATACTAGTATCTGAAAACTGATTCTATAATCTGTTTTGAAGAATAAGTATATTAAAATGCCCACAGAGCATTTTAGAATTCCATGAGGCCACATACCAATTGCTCATCAATAAAGTTCTTGGCACTGTGGCTAGTGGAAAAAACACTGAATTCAGTAAATGCTCAGAACATGCTGGAAATATAGAAAAAATTAAATGTCTTAAATTCATGAAAAAAATATCTGAGAAAGTTATAAAACTTAGAAAATTTTGTAGTAAAATTCATTTTACACATCTTAATGGAGATATATATGAATTTTTAAATATCAATCCCAAAACTAATCCTAATTTTTCTTTTTATAATCTGAAGAGGTAAAATATGACATCTACATTTGATTAATGTTGTCATCTTCATTGAATTAAGCCTACAATGAAGACATCGAATCTTCTTAAAATATCCTCATTCTGGGTTTTAACAAACAGCTACTACATGCTCTAGCTATATCCTAACACACTGATGCAGTTTTGCCAACAAGATGTGACTTCTTCACACTTCAAATTAAAATCCTAAGTACCTCCACCAATTGAACAGATACATCTTGGCCAAGGGGATCCCAGAGACACCTTAAAAACTGAGTTCCTGGCCAGGACAGGATGGAAAGCCAGACATGCCTCGTTATACTGAAACAGGACATTTTCCATGACCACTTTGTGGGCCTCACAGCAGAGGTACCTCACTTACTCAGTCCAACCCCTCACAGGAGTGGGAGCACACAGGTGAAAGGGTGCAAGAGATAGGGCAAGTGCTTCTGGGTGCCAGCAGAAGCAAAACTCCATGCAGGCCTTGTAGCAGCATCTCGCAGGAGTACCCACAACCCCCAAAGCCCCAGAGGGGTGTGTTACAGTGCACTCTTTTAGCTTTGCAATCTGTGGACGACTTAAGTGTTAAACAGCTCAGTTGGCCTCTGCCTTTTTATGTGAGGCAGTTGCTCTCCACCAGTGAGGGCAGAGGGTCAGTGTGACAGCCTTTAGCATCCACACCTGTGTGACACCCAAGCTCTTGTCCAGGAAAAATCAGATTGCACAAATGAATTAAAGGGTGGTGAATGAGGAGGATTTTATTGCTGATGGAAGCGGCTCTCAGAGGAAGGGTGAGCTGGAAAGGGGATGGAGTGGGAACTTCCCCTGAAGTCCGGCCATCTCCAGCCAGACTCTTCTCTGAAGTCCTGCAGTCAAGCCGTCCCTCTGAAGTCAAACTGTTTCTCTCTGATGTTCAACCACTTCTTCTCTTCTCCACTTCTCTGCTCTCTGCCAGTGGAGCCTGGGGTTTTTATGGGAACAGGATGGGGGTCGGTGCAGGCCAGGGTTGGTTTTGGAAAAGGTGACATTCGAGCAGGAAAATGGGGATGTAAAGTTCTCACTTTGGTCTGAGATTTCAGGCTTGAGGGTGGGGCCCTGGGCAGGAACCCTGCCCTTTCTGCCTAGAATTTCTCTGCCTCCTGTCCCTAACAATACCTCCTCTCTTTTGGGGTCTAGACACAACAGTTGACCAGCATTGATGTTAAAATAAAGATCACAAGACTGACAGAGAACAGACTCTTTGTGGCAATGAGATATTAAATTATAAACAGCAACTAAGGCCATGCCAGGCAAGGGTTAAATCATACACCCCTATACTTAAAGAATAAACTATATTTTAACTGCCACAAGGGTTTTTTGTTGTTGTTGTTTTTTCTAGCAACTAAACAAGCACTGCCTTGAGATAAGCAAAATTAAAACAATTTGCAACTCTACCACACGCTGACTAACTGGCCCCTGGCCCCTGCTCCACAAGCCATAACTACAGCTTTGATTGGGCAAGAGACTGATTTCAGTAACTGTCTCCTGATAAGACCACTGACCATGGACTGGTTATGGCTGAGTGCCTCTGTATCTCTCCTTCATCTTTTGATGTATAGGATCTAACTGTAACACATTTAAATGTTAAGTTGCACCCCAAGGTAAACAAGGGTCATATATTACATGCATGTTTACTTAATATTCATGTGTCAAGACTACCTTCATGAATATTCATAGCTCCTCCTGTAATCTGTTGAATATGTATGTTTGGCCAACCTTTTCAACTTAAATTCTTGTCTTACCCCTCCTTTCCTCAAAGTGCCTGCAAATGGCTTCACCTGGAGGCACACTTCCCAGCCTGCCAGATGGGCTCCTCGCAAGGCTGTAACCTTTTACAAGAAATAAAGTCTCCCTTTCTAAATTTATAGATCTCATGATTGTTTTAGGTTAACCACACCAATGGAGAAATTGACTTGGCAAATGACCCTGTGAGAAAAATATTTTCAATAGGGCCAAATGGTTCCAGCCTTGGGGGAGTGACCACATTCAACAGTGAATAATAATGCAGAATTGCTTTCGTCATTTTCTTTTTGATGTGAACATTACCCAGAGTGACTAATCTTCCTTATATCACTACACTTTTAGAGGCATAATATCATTTTTTCTATAATTATAAAATATAAAGCAATACAAACTTCAGGAACAAACCTCCTGGATGTTTTATTTCTCTATTGTTTTTCATCTTCTGGTGGCTACCTGGCAGAAGTTAATAACAAAGGCAAGAAAAGAACAAGAATTAGAGGTAGGGGACAAAAGAACAGAACAGAAATAAGGAGGAGGAAGAGGAAGGAAAGTGGGAGAAAGAGGAAGAGAAGGAGGATGACAATGAGAGAAAGGAGGGGAATGAGAAGGAGGAAAAAACTACAATTGACCCCCTGTGCATCAAAAATCTGCATGAAAATTTTAACTCCCCAAAAACTTAACTACGAATAGTCTACTATTGACAGAAGCCTTATTGATAACATCAACTAGTCAATTAGCTCATATTTTATATGTTATATGTATTATATACTGCATTTTTACAATAAAGTAAGCTAGAGAAAAGGTTATTAAGAAATTCATAAGAGGAAATATATGTATTATTCATTAAGTGAAAGTGGATCATCACAAAGGTCTTCATCCTCATCTTTATGTCCAGTAAGCTGAGGAGGAAAAGGAAGAGAAAGGGTTGGTCTTGCTCTCTCCAGGGTGGGGGGTGAGAGAGGCTTAAGAAAACCTGTGTATAGGCCAGGCCCGGTTGCTCACGCCTGTAATACCTGCAATTTAGAAGGTCAAGGGGGCTGGATTGCTTGAGCACAGGAGTTTGAGATCAGCCTGGTCAACATGGTGAAACCTTGTCTCTATTTTAATTTTAAAAAATGTTGAAAAGAAAACCTGTGTATGATTGGACCCACACAATACAAACCTATGTTGTTCAAGGGTCAACTGTATATCCAAACTGGTAAACTGGTCCGTGTTAAGAGATAGAGGGTGGACAGACACAGTGTGAGATAGTGTGGCAGAGTGAAAGCCAAAGAGATGTAAGATCCTGTTACCATTTCTTCAACCTCCCTCTAACCTAGATGATGTGAAAAACTAGCAGAGGAAATCTATAATAGGAAACCATTACTGTCTCTACTCACTCCAGTTGCCATTTTGAAAACTTGCAAATTTATCTTCAACACATTTTGAGACATACTTTTGAACACATCTTAAGTCCATCCTTTGGACTTTGTGAAATTGCCTTTCTGCAACAGATGCTGGCGAGGTTGCAGAGAAAATGGAACACTTTTACACTGTTGGTGGGCGTGTAAATTAGTTCAGGTATTGTGGAAGACAGTGTGGTGACTCCTCAAAGACCTAGAGGCAGAAATACCATTTGACCCAGCAATCCCATTACTGGGTATATGCCCAAATGAATATAAATCATTCTATTATAAAGATACATGCAAATGTATGCTCATTGCAGCACTATTATTCACAGTAGCAATGACATGGAATCAACTCAAAATGGCCATCAATGAGAGACTGGATAAAGAAAATGTGGTACATAAACACCATGGAATACTATGCAGCCATAAAAAGGAACAAGATCATGTCCTTTGGAGGGACATGGATGGAGCTGGAGGCCATCATCCTCAACAAACTGACAAGGAAACAGCAAACCAAACCCTGCATGTTCTTACTTACAAGTGGGAGTTGAACAGTGAGAACACATGGACACATAGACGGGAATAACAAACACTGCAGCCTGTCATTAGAGGTGGGGGAGGTGGGCAGGAGAGCATCAGGAAGAATAGCTAATGGGTGCTGGGCTTAATACCTAGGTGATGGGATGATCTGTGCAGCAAACCACCATAGCACACGTTTACCTATGTAACAAACCTGCACATCCTGCACATATATCCCTGAACTTAAAATCGAAGAAAAAAAAATTGTCATTCTGTGAGTAACTTAATACTGTAGCTGCCCAAGGGGTTCACCTTGCCCACTGCCTAGACAGAGCCAATTCATCAAGACAGGGGAATTGCAGTAGAGAAAGAGTAATTCACACAGAGCCAGCTGTGCAGGAGACCGGAGTTTATTATTACTCAAATCAGTCTCCCTGAGCATTCAGGGAGCAGAGTTTTTGTTTTGTTTTTGTTTTGAGACGGAATCTCTCTCTGTTGCCAGGCTGGAATGCAGTGGCACAATCTCGGCTCACTGCAACCTCCGCCTCCTGGGTTCAAGCAATTCTCCTGCCTCAGCCTCCTGAGTAGCTGGAACTACAGGCGCTGCCACCACACCCAGCTAATTTTTGTATTTTTAGTAGAGACGGTTTCACCATGTTGGCCAGGAAGGATGGTCTCGATCTCTTGACCTTATGATCTACTCGCCTTGCCCTCCCAAAGTGCTGGGATTACAGGTGTGAGCCACTGCGCCTGGCCAGGAGCAGAGCTTTTAACAATAACTTGGTAGGTTGGTGGGGAGCCAGTGAGTCAGGAATGCTGATTGGTCAGGGCTGAAATCACAGGGAGTGGAAGCTGTCTTCTGGTGCTGAGTCGGTTCCTGGGTGGGGGCCACAAGATCAGACAAGCCAGTTTATTGATCTGGGTGGGGCTAGCTGATCCATCAAGTGCAGGGTCTGCAACATATCTCAAGCACTGATCTTAGGAGCTACATGACTCCTAAACCATAATTTCTAATCCCGTGGCTAATGTTAGTCTAGTCCCCATGCAAGAAGGAAGTCTGCTTTGGGAAAGGCTGTCTTTGTTTAAACTATAAACTACAAACTAAGTTTCTCCCAAAGTTAGTTCAGCCTACGGTCAGGAATGAACAAGGACAGCTTGGAGGTTAGAAGAAAGATGGAGTCAGTTAAATTGGATCTGTTTCACTGTTTGAGTCATAATTTTGCAAAGGCGGTTTCAATACTAGTGTCACAAAATGGGAAGAAAAAGGACTGGGATTATGCCTCCATTTAAAAAATTATTCGTGAGTATGTGTTCTCATTTATTTCCCTCTTAACTCTTGAAACTAGTAATTTGCCTAACGAGAGAAAAAAAACTTACCATTTTCATAAATTTTCTTTCAGTGGTATCTTTCATGCGCGTCCGTGTGAAGAGACCACCAAACAGGCTTTGTGTGAGCAACATGGCTGTTTATTTCACCTGGGTGCAGGGGGGCTGAGTCCAAAAAGAGAGTCAGCGAAGGGAGAGAGGGGTGGGGCCGTTTTATAGGATTTGGGTAGGTAAAGGAAAAAGGGGGGTTGTTCTCTGGCAGGCAGGAGTGGGGGTCACAAGGTACTCAGTAGGGGAGCTTTTGAGCCAGGATGAGCCAGGAGAAGGAATTTCACAAGACAATGTCACCAGTTAAGGCAGGAACAGGCCATTTTCACTTCTTCTGTGGCGGAATGTCATCAGTTAAGGCAGGAACAAGCGATCTGGATGTGTACGTGCAGGTCACAGGGTATATGATAGCTTAGCTTGGGCTCAGAGGCCTGACATTCCTGTCTTCTTATATTAATAAGAAAAATAAAATGAAATAGTGGTAAAGTGTTGGGACAGCGAAAATTTTGGGGGATGGTATGGAGAGATAATGGGCGATGTTTCTCAGGGCTGCTTCGAGCGGGATTAGGGGCGGTGTGGGAACCTAGAGTGGGAGAGATTAAGCTGAAGGAAGATTTTGTGGTAAGGAGTGATATTTGTGGGGTTGTTAGAAGGAACATTTGTAATTTAGAATTATTGGTGATGGCATGGATACAGTTTTGTATGAATTGAAAAACTAAATGGAATAAGAGAAGGAGAAAAACAGGTATAAAAGGTCTAAGAATTGGGAAGACTCAGGACATCTGATTAGAGAGTGCCTAAGGAGATTCGGCATAGTCCTGCCAACAAAGATTATTTATTTACGTCAAGAGTTAAGAGTGGCAGTTTGGGGATAGCACCAGGAGATATCAGCTGTGATGGCTTGGAGAAACAGTGTAAACCGGCAGTGTAAACAAGAGCAGGGCATGTATGAGTAGTTGAGAACGCTGAATAGGAGTATGACTAGACAGAAGATAGTAGGGATGACAAGTTTTTGGGGGCACATTCTAAGTTGGTCTGGTGTCTGGAATGAGACTGGGGCCTAATAAAACGGAGCGTCTATACAGGAGCTCAAATGGGCTGTAACTTGTAGCATTCTGAGGACAGGTCTGACTTCTGAGAAGAGAAAGTCATAAAAGTATTGTCCAGTCCTTTTTAAATTGGTGGCTGAGCTTAGTGAGGTGTGTTTTTAAAAGACCTTTAGTCCATTCTACTCTTCCTGAAGACGGAGGACCTTAAGGGATATAAAGGTTTCACTGAATACTAAGAGCCTGAAAAACTGCTTGGCTGATTTGACTAATAAAGGCTGGTCTTTTATCAGACTGTATAGAGGTGGGAAGGCTAAACTGAGGAATTATGTTGACAGAAGGGAAGAAATGACTGTGGCAGCCTTCTCAGACCCTGTAGGAAAGGCCTGTACCTATCCAGTGAAAGTGTCTACCTAGACTAAGAGGTATTTTAGTTATCTGACTCGGGGCATGTTGAGTAAAGCTAATTTGCCAGTCCTGGGTGGGGGCAAATCCTTGAGCTTGATGTGTAGGGAAGGGAGGGGGCCTGAATAATCCCTGAGGAGTAGTAGAATAGCAGATGAAACACTGAGAAGTGATCTCCCTGAGGATAGATTTCCATGATGGAAAGGAAATGAGAGGTTCTAAGATGCGGGTTAGTGGCTTGTACTATATAGCATAGCCTGCCTTTGCTGGTGTGTGGTGATTAGGCCTGGTAGAACTGCCATCAATAAATCAAGCGTGATCAGGGTGAGGAATAGGAAAGAAGGAAATATGCGGAAATGGGGTGAATGTCAGGTGGATCAGAAAGATACAGTCATGGGGGTCAGGTGTGGTATCAGGAATAATGTGGGAGGCCAGATTGAAGTCCGGGCCAGGAACAATGGTAATTGTGGGACTTAACAAAGAGTGAGTACAGCTGAAGGAGCCGGAGAGCAGAAAGTGTATGCGTCAGGTATGAGGAAGAAAATAGATTTTGGAAGTTATGAGAAATGTAAGAGACTAAGTTGAGCAGAGTTTGTGATTTTGAGGGCCTCTAAAAGTATTAGGGTGGCAGCAGCCACTGCACGGAGACATGATGGCTAGGCTAAAACAGTAAGGTCAAGTTGTTTGGACAGAAAGGCTACAAGGTGCGGTCCTGTCCTGGCTCTTGTGTAAGAAATCTGACTGCACTAACCATGCCTAGGAAGGAAAGGAGTTGTTGTCCATGCCTAGGAAGGAAAGGAGTTGTTGTTTTGTAAGGGATTGAGGTTTGGGAGATTAATCGGACACGATCAGCAGGGAAAGCACGTGTGTTTTTATGAGAATTATGCCGAGATAGGTAACAGATGAGGATGAAATTTGGGCTTGACTGAAGTAATGGGGGCTGTCTGTGAAGCCTTGTGGCAGTACAGCCCAGGTAATTTGCTGAGCCTAATGGGTGTCAGGGTCAGTCCAAGTGAAAGCGAAGAGAGGCTGGGATGACGGGTGCAAAGGAATAGTAAAGAAAGCGCGTTTGAGATCCAGAACAGAATAATGGATTGTGGAGGGAGGTATTGAGGATAGGAGAGTATATGGGTTTGGCACCATGGGGTGGATAGGCAAAACAATTTGGTTGATAAGGCATAGATCCTGAACTAACTTGTAAGGCTTGTCTGGTTTTAGGACAGGTAAAATGGGGGAATGGTAAGGAGAGTTTATAGGCTTTGAAAGGCCATGCTGTAGCAGGCGAGTGATAACAGGCTTTAATCCTTTCAAAGCATGCTGTGGGATAGGATATTGGCATTGATCCGGGTAAGGGTGATTAGGTTTTAATGAGATGGTAAGGGGTGCATGATCAGTCACCAAGGAGGGAGTAGAGGTATCTTATACTTGTGGGTTAAGGTGGGGGGATACAAGAGGAGGACGCAAAGGAGGCTTTGGATTGGGAAGAAGGGCAGCAATGAGATGTAGTTGTAATCCAGGAATAGTCAGGGAAGCAGATAATTTAGTTAAAGTGTCTCGGCCTAATAAGGGAACTGGGCAGGTGGGGATAACTAAAAGGAGTGCTTAAAAGAGTATTGTCTAAGTTGGCACCAGAGTTGGGGAGTTTTAAGAGGTGTAGAAGCCTGGCTGTCAATACCCACAACAGTTATGGAGGTGAGGGAAACAGACCCTTGAAAATAAGGTAATGTGGAGTGGGTAGCCTCCGTATTGATTAAGAAGGGGACCGACTTACCTTCCACTGTGAGAGTTACCTGAAGCTCGGTGTCCGTGATGGTCTAGGGGGCTTCTGAGGTGATCGGGCAGCGTCAGTCTTCAGCTGCTAAGCCAAGAAGATCTGGGAAGGAGTCAGAGAGCCTTGGGCCAGAGTTCCAGGGGCTCTGGGAGTGGCTGCCAGGTGAGTTGGACAGTCCGATTTCCAGTGGGGTCCCACACAGATGGGATGTGGCTTAGGAGGAATCCTGGGCTGCAGGCATTCCTTGGCCCGGTGGCCAGATTTCTGGAACTTGTAGCAAGCTCCTCGGGGAGGAGGTTCTGGAGGAACACCTGGCTGCTGCAGTTCAGGCGTTTGGAAGTTCTTGTGTGCTGGAGATGTGGCTGGGGTTTGTCTCACAGTGGAGGCAAGGAACTGCAACTTTTTTCTATTATTGTACACCTTGAAGGTGAGGTTAATTAAATCCTGTTGTGGGGTTTGAGGGCCAGAATTTAATTTTTGGAGTTTTATTTAATGTTGGGAGCAGATTGGGTAATAAAATGTATTTTGAGAATAAGACGGCCTTTTGACCTTTTAGGGTCTAGGGCTGTAAAGTGTCTCAGGGTTGCTGCCAAACAAGTCATGAACTGGGCTGGATTTTTATATTTGATGAAAAAGAACCTAAACGCTATCTGATTTGGGATAAGGAAAAAGGAGCATTAACCTTGACTATGCCTTTAGCTCCAGCCACCTTTTTAAGAGTAAATTGCTGGGCAGGAGGGGGAGGGCTAGTCATGGAAGGAAACTGTAAGCCGGACCAGGTGTGAGGAGGGGAGGCGATAAAAGGATTATAGGGTGGAGGAGCGGAGGCTGAGGAAGAATTGGGACCTAGCTCGGTCTGGCGAGGAGCAGCCTGGGGAGGAGGGGAGAGGTCAGATGGGTCTGTAGAAAAGGAAGATTAGAAAGACTCAGTGACTCTTGGGGTTGGGACTGAGGGGACAGGCGGAAGGGAAAGAAGGAAGATTTGGGACGAGTTGCATTGGGCACAGAGACTAGGAAGGGACCGATGTGTAAAAGAATGCCTGGATGTCAGGCACCTCAGACCATTTGCCCATTTTACGACAAGAATTATTTAGATCTTGTGGGATGGAGAAATTGAAAGTGCCGTTTTCCGGCTATTTGGAACTACTGTCCAGTTTGTATTGGGGTCAAGCATCATTGCAGAAGAAAATAAGATGCTTAGATTTTAGGTCAGGTGAGAGTTGAAGAGGTTTTAAGTTCTTAAGGACACAGGCTAAGGGAGAAGAAGGAGGAATGGAAGGTGGAAGCTTGCCCATAGTGAAGGAGGCAAGCCCAGAGAAAAGAGTAGAGACACGGAGAGGGGATGGGGGGTTCTTGCCCTCCAGAAAAGCAGAGAAGGGGTCAGGGCACAGAGATACGAGGTCGGGGTGTGGAAATAAGGGATCGGGGTGCAGAGATTTAAGAGGTCAGGGCACGGAAATAAGGGATGGGCACAGAGATATGAGGTTGGGGTACTTGCCCCTCCTCTAGAAAAGTGGGACTTGCCACTCAGGGTGAAGGAGAAGAGGTTGGGGGTTTCTTGCCCCCCAGAAAGGTGGAGAAGGGGTAGAGACACGGAGAGAAGGGGTTGGGGTACTGGCCCCTTCCCCAGAAAAGTGGGACTTGCCGCTAAGGGTGAAGGACCAAGGCAGGCGTCCCTGCGTGGTCTGACACCTCTGAAGCCTGGGTGAATAATCAGAGAGGTGTCCCTGGAATGATTAAACACCAAGGGAAGGCTGCCTTCCCAGTCCGTGACTGGCGCCGGAGTTTTGGGTCCACGGATAAAACGTGTCTCCTTTGTCTCTAGAAGAAAATGAAAGGAATTGAAATTAAAAGAAGGGAGAGATTAAAGTGTGGCGCCAAGATTGAAAGGAGAAAGAGGTTGAGTGATAGTGAGGGAGGTTGGAGAAGAGAGTAAAAAGAGGCGGCTTACCGGATTTGAAATTGGTGAGATGTTTCTTGGGCTGGTCGGTCTGAGGACCTGAGGTCGTAGGTGGATCTTTCTCAAGGAGCAAAGAGCAGAAGGACAGGGGATTGATCTCCCAAGGGAGGTCCCCCGATAGGAGTCATGGCACCAAATTTCATGCGCGTCCGTGTGAAGAGACCACCAAACAGGCTTTGTGTGAGCAACATGGCTGTTTATTTCACCTGGGTGCAGGTGGGCTGAGTCTGAAAAGAGAGTCAGCGAAGGGAGATAGGGGTGGGGCCGTTTTATAGGATTTGGGTAGGTAAAGGAAAAAGGGGGGTTGTTCTCTGGCAGGCAGGAGTGGGGGTCACAAGGTACTCAGTGGGGGAGCTTTTGAGCCAGGATGAGCCAGGAGAAGAAATTTCACAAGACAATGTCATCAGTTAAGGCAGGAACCAGCGATCTGGATGTGTACGTGCAGGTCACAGGGGATATGATAGCTTAGCTTGGGCTCAGAGGCCTGACAGTATCCTAAGATTATTTCCTGGTTTAATGTGACCATTAGTGCATTTGTTCAGCATACTCCCTGAAGTCGTATAAGGCAGCTCTTCCCATTAAAACAAAAGGCATAAATGGGTAAATTGGGTACAGTTTTAATAAATGGAACTTAAGCTCTCATAATGGAATTGCTAAATTTCAACACTGGCATTGCTACTGAATTAAACTAGGAAATTAGCAAATGCATTTAAACTTTTCTGTTTACTGAGCTCTAAAAGTGGGGGAAATGGCATATGAATTTTAAAATATTTCTTAGAGTAATGGCTTTAAAATGAGTCTTCAGTGAATTCAGTTGGCCCTTAGTACAAAATACGTTCTTATAAATATTGATCAGAAAATAATCTGTAATAATATGTACTACTGTCTCTCCCAAAAAGCTCTTAAAGATAAAACAAATTTCCACTTAAAATAAAACTTTCTTGATTTCATTCTGCATTTATTTTGGAAAAGGTGAGAATCTCATAATCAACAGTGGGAGAGGAGTTTGGGAGAGGAGGTTCTTCATAATGTCAGAAAAGATATCAAAGGCACATTCTGTTGATTTTTTTCCTTGCTAAAATGTTTTATAATGTCATCCAGGCAAGGTTATCATGATAATTTTTTAGAATGAATGAAAAGATATTCTAGAAGTTGCTCTGTTTTGTTCTCCAACCCTTTGGATAGAAAAGGCAACAAAATAAGTGCAATTTTGTTCCTTTTTTGCCAACTTGAAATCTTACTTTGACCTCTAGATTCACCAGCCTTATGTTTCTGGGCAACCCCCCACATTTCCTTGGGAGCCTCTCAAACTGCTATCATTTACCCAGCAACAAGGACAGTTCTAGGCCTAGACAAATGGCATTTGCAGTACCTGAGAACTAGCCAAGACCTAATGGTCTCTCCCCACATCTCATTGGCAGGAACGTTCATTCATTTTTCCCCACGTCCACTTCTTTTCCATGAAAGCAAGCCCTAAGGCAGGAGATCACCTTCTCATTACCCAACAGCTTGATTCTCTACATGATCCTCTGAATGTCAGCAGGTGAATGTCTGGCTTTGCAAGTGAAAGGAAAAGCTTTGGTCTTTTTACTCACAGGATCCTGGTTCTCCTTTTGCTTCTCCATTCTTTTTCTTTCCCCATCTCTTCCCTCTTCCCTCCTCCTCTTCCTCTTCCTTCTCCTTTTCCTCTCCTCCTTCTCCTCCATCTTTTCCTCTTCCTCCTTTTCTTCCTATTCTTTCCATCAGTTTTTTCCATACTTATTACTGTATTTCTCTTCTTTCACTTTCAGTCTCTCTTTTGCTCTCCTCCTTATTCTTTTTTCTCCTTCTTACTCTCTTTCTGACATACATTTTCATAAACCATCATTTAAAGAATGTTGTTTTGTTTTCTCATTTTATTTTATTTTTACCTCATATGTTCTAAGATCCTAAAATAATACAAAACACACTCTAGGAAGCACTATATTATTAATGAAATTAATTTCCATTGAATATAGTACTGAAGCAGGCCTAAATTGTATTTCCTTTATGAGAGTATTACTGCTAATGTGCTGTTCCATAGGATTTTACAGCGATCTAAATTAATTACGCTGCCATCTGTGTAGTATACTCCAAAGAAAAAAATTAACACCATTATTTACAAATTGCATCCAGTTTAAGCATAGATGATATTTTGCCTATTTGGGTAAAATATTTTTCATCATGTGCAAAGAAACATGGGATGATCCAAAAAATAAAAAGACTGCATCTATAGAAAGAGATAGCTACCTTTTTAAATCATGTAATATGAAATAATACACAACTAAATAAAATTACAATCAGGATAAAGAGATACATCGTTTAACTACACACAAAAAACTGTTTGAGTCAAATTTGTTTTTCTAAATATCAGAAGCCTTTTGAGTGTACAGAGCTGACATTATTGAAAAGCAGTAGTACATTTCAATTGATGAAGATTAAGCATGATGAATGCTAGATTGTCTCAGATGAAATCACATGTGCTGGCAGAACATCTGTTACAGCCTCCCTTCTTGTTATTTTATTGCAAATTTACAACCTATTGCAATTAAAATAACATGATTAAAATTATAGACATTTTGAATAAAGGGTAATTTATAGACCTCTCTAAATAATCAAACCTATTTTCCAAATGACAGAAATTTTAAAAAGAAAAGATTTTTGAACCCCTATATATTGCTTTTCATTACAAAGAAACACTGGCATTTAGTATTTACATTCAGGCATAGCTACTACAGAAAAAAAAAAAATTCACTCCCATAATCAGAAACCTGCAATACTCACTAGCTACATTTATTAGAGCTATTTCACAGGGACCTAACATTGGTTTCTCTTGTTCATAATATCTATAAGGTCCATCTCAATGGTCAACATATAGTAGATAATTTATTTAATATGGTTTTAGTGAATGCTTGACTTAATATGAGTGAAGTATTCATAAGGACATATGTTTTAGGTGTGCACAAATATGTTAGCTAAAATCACTTCAAACAGAAATATGCTATGAAGAATCACATAATTTATACATAAAGGTGTGTGGAAATGGTAAGGGTAAAATTTAATTTTTATAAAAATAATCTCTCATATAAATCCAGTTCCCTGTGATCATTGTCTGTAACAATTAAATGAAGTCTATAGTACTAAATCAACTCCAAAGACAAGTCTGTAAGAATCATCTGTAAACCATAGTTTGATTGTTTGCATGTCTTTAAAAGTTCTGATTCCACTATTTATTTACCTTAAATCAAACTTTTTTACAGACAATAATCACAGATTTAGGTACAAAGATAATCAGGCTTTCCCTTGTAAACAAGGCCTAAAATCAGTTGTCAGTTGGTCAAACCCAAAGGTCATACCTATTTGATGCAAGAGGCTGGTTAGTAAGGGTGGGGAATCATGGACACAGATTGATTGAGTTTAAACTACAGTCATCAACCTCTTGACCTCAACTTGTTTGTGCCCCATTTTCTTCACCTGTAACATGGACATAAAATGATTCCTACTTATTAAGATTCTTATGTAGATTAAATGTGACAATGCAGGCAAAACATTAAGCACAATGACTAGTACTTAGCAAATACCCACAAAATGATTGGCTAGCACTATGATTATGCTAGAAAAAAGATTGTGAAGGATAAAGAAGAATGCACAGGAAAGAGGAGACAATTAGAAAGCTCTAAATAACTGCTTATTTTTGGATTCAAGTTTTAGCAAAGATGAACAGAACTGGCAGAGTAAGACAACTTTTGGAAATGAATAAATCAAGAGATACCATGTCACCAGCATAAGCTCGCACAGGCATCATCTGACAGATTAAAAAACTAAAAGGAAAAAAATAGATAAAAAGATAGCCTTACACATTCAATCGCTTACTTCTGAAATGAAATATATCCTTAGCCTAAGGTAATGTATCAGTGTTTCAGCAAAAGGCTGGTATAGGAAATAAGGACATATGAACAAGAAAATGCAACAGGAAATTATTTGTTGAATTTCAGGAAGCTATATTAATTTTTCACTTTTCTTTGTGTCATAGTGACACAAACCTTGCAGCGGTGTAAAAAAATATTTACTACAAAAGATTTTGCAAAAATAATCATTACCAAAATGAAAAAGGACTTCTCCCATAAATAAAATGTTTAATCCATTTTTAGTCTGCTTATTGTCCTCCTAGATCAGTTTTAATATAGTATTCATAGATTCTTTAGCTATTATATTAACCATAAATGTCAATATAACAAACCACACAGACCATGTAAGAGTTAGAGCTATTGAATATCACAAGCTGTTCTAATGCACCAAAATTAAATGAAAATTAAGGAATCTATTTTATATTGCTAAAAATTATTTGGCTCAGTAGTAATAAAATGCTTCACTAAAATATTTTGATTGATCTCCTTAAATTAAGAATTTTCAAATATTCAATCAAAAATATTCTTTCCTCACTCTAGCACACTGGAAAGGACATTAGATTAAAAGCGGCACAGAATAATTGAACTAAAAGGATTTTTTTAAGGAGGTGGAATGCATAGTGGCTACAAACAAGACTGCTTACCTCAAAATCTGGCTTTTCCACTTACCTGCTGTGTGCCCTATGGTTAGTTATTTAATCTGAGTGACAATTTCATCTTCTATAAAATGAGAAATAATAAAAATTATATAGGCATATCTCAGAGATACTGCAGATTTGTTTCTAAACTGTTGCAAAAAGTAAATATTACAATAAAGCAAGTCATGCAAAGTTTTTGGTTTCCCAGTGCATACGAAAGTTATGTTTACATTGTACTGTAGCCTATTATGTGTGCAAAGGCATTGTGTTATTAAGGTATGTAAAGAAATACAGCATTAAGTTGTTAAGGTATGTAAAAAATACATATCTTAATTTAGAAATAGTTTATTGCTAAAAAATGCTGACAATCGTCTGAACCTTCAGCAAGTCATGATCCTTTTGCTGGTGAAAAGTCTTGCCCGGATGTTGATGGCTGCTGACCAGCATGGTGGTTGCTAAAAGTTGGTGTGGCTGTGGCAATT
The DNA here is from genome assembly GCF_000001405.40 of Homo sapiens. Classification (NCBI taxonomy): domain Eukaryota; kingdom Metazoa; phylum Chordata; class Mammalia; order Primates; family Hominidae; genus Homo; species Homo sapiens. The sequence continues at coordinate 89,974,986 of NC_000004.12, forward strand.
CCTTAAAAAAGAAGACAATGAAGTTTGCTGCGTCTATCGACTCTTCCTTTTACAAAAGATTTCTCTGTGGTATGTGATGCTGCTTGATAGCACTTTGCCAACAAGGGAACTTCTTTCAAAATTGGAGTTAGTCTTCTCATACCCTGCCACTGCTTTATCAACTCAGTTTGTATAATATTCCAAATCTTTTGTTGTCATGTCAACAATTTTGAGAACATCTTCACTAGTGGATTCTGTCTCAAGAAACCACTTTCTTTGCTCATCTGTAAGAAGTAATTCTTTGTCCATTCAAGTTTGATCATGAGATTGCAGCAATTCAGTCACATCTTTAGGTTGTATTTGTAATTCTAGTTTTCTTGCTCCGCAGTTACTTCCTCCCCTGAAGTCTTTGAAGTGTTGAACCCTTCAAAGTGATTTACGAGGGTTAGAATCAACTTCTTCCAAATTCCTATTGATGTTGATATTTTAACATCCTACCATGAATCACAAATGTTTTTAATGGCATCTAGAATCGTGGAGCTTTTCCAGAAGATTTTCAATTTACTTTGCCCAGATCCATGAGGAGAATCACTGTGTATGGCAGGTGTAGCCTTACAAAATGTATTCCTTAAATAATAAGACTTGAAAGCCAAGATTACACCTTGATCTATGGGCTGCAGAATGAATGTCGTGTTAGCAGGTATAAAAACAGCATTAATCTCCTTATACTTCTCCCTCAGAGCTCTTGGGTGACCAGACACGTTGTCAATGAACAGTAATATTTTGAAAGAGATCTTTTTTTTTTTTTTCTGAGCAGTACATCTCAACAGGAGCTTAAAATAGTCAATAAACCATGCTATAAACATACGCATTATTATCAAGGCTTTGTTGTTCCATTTCTAGAGCACAGATAGAGTAGATTTAGCATATTCATTAAGGGCCTTAGATTTTTTGCATGGCAAATGAGCATTGGCTTCAACTGAGAGTCACCAGTAGCATTAGCCCCTCAGAAGAGAGTCAGCCCGTCCTTGGAAGCTTTGAAGCCAGGCATTGACTTCCCTTTAGCTATGAAAGTCCTACACGGCATCTTCTTCCAAAAGAAGAAGGCTGTTTCATCTACCTTGAAAATCATTTACTGTAGCCTCCTTCATTCAATGATCTTAGCTAGATCTTCTGGATAACTTGCTGCAGCATCTACATCAGCACTTGCTGCTTCACTTTGCACTTTTGTCTTATGAAGATGGCATTTACCTAAGTCTTATGAACCAACCTCTGCTAGCTTCAGACTTTTCTTCTGCAGCTTCCTCACCTTCCTCAGCCTTCATGAAATGGAAAAGAGTTAGGGCCTTGCTCTGAATTAAGCTTTGACTTAAGTGAGCATAGTGGCTGTATTGAGCTTTTCACCAGACCACTAAAACTTTCTCCATATCTGCAATGAGGCTGCTTCATTTTCTTATCATTCATGTGTTCCCAGAAGTAGCACTTTAACTTTCTTTCTAGATTTTTTCTTTGCATTCAAAACTTGGCTAACTGTTTGGCACAAAAGACCTAACTTTTTACCCATCTCAGCTTTTGACATGTCTTCCTCAGTGAACTTAATCATTTCTAGTTTTTGATTTAATGTGAGAGACATGCAATTCTTCCTTTCTCTTGAACAGTTAGAGGCCATTGCAGGGTTATTAACTGGACTAATTTCAACATTGTTGTGTCTCAGGAAATAGGAAGAACCAAGAAGAGAGAAAGAGATGTGGAATGGCCAGTGAGTGAAAGAGTCAGAACACACACATTTATTGATTATTTACCATCTTATATGGGCATGGTTAATGGCAACCCAAAACAAGTACAATAGTAACATCAAAAATCACTGATCACAGATTATCATAACATATAATAATGAAAAAGTTTGAGTTCTTGTAAGAAACACAAAGTCTCTTTGTGACATTTTGGTCTATGGTTGTCATTTTTTCCAATAGCCTGTGTTATTCCAATACCATATGCTATTGGAAAAAAAATGGCGCCCAGAGACTTGCTCAATGTAGCATTACCACAAACCTTCAATTTGTAAAAGAAAATGCAATACTTGCAAAGCCTCAATAAAATGAAGTGCAATAAAATGAGTTGTGCCTGTATCTACCTCACAGATTTGGTATGGTGATTAAATTAATTAACAGACATACAGCATTTAGAATGCCACTTGGCATGTAATTCATACTCCTGAAGTATTTGCTACTGGTAATTCTGGAATTCTTCACTTAAAGATGATGGCAACAAACATTTGAAACCATGTCAAAGTGTAAAAAAATATGATAGGACCTTTTTGGATGTCAGGACACTATTGCTCAGAGCTGTATGTTTCAATTTATTATCTAAAAATGTTTTTTCCTAATCTCAAAAATATTTCACTTGAAACAAAGATTTTGAGATGCTCAAAGAATCTTTCTTGAAATAAATATCAAGACAAGGCAACAGGAAATACTTTATTAAGAATGTCTTGAGTAAACCAATGTAAAACAAGAACTTTCAGATACTAAAATTAATTTCCCACTCATTTCTTTCTATCTATCTCTGTCGCCCTTCTGAAGCTGTTTTTCTTACATGATCAGGTACCTTGGCTATGGTCTAGGGAAACCACAGGTTTCCAACTTAATCCACATAATTCCTGCATACTTGACTTAGTTATGTGTCACTGAAGCAGAAGGTTAGAAATGATCTAATTAGCTACTTCATGAAGTGGTTAGATATACTATGAAGAGAAATTCTGAGAAAAAGAGTAGTGATGAAAGAATAAGTATATTAAAACAACCTCATCGACCACTGGCAACAAATGCAATTCGGGGAAGTAAGGTGGGAATAGAAAACTAGGTTGAGACTGACTCAGTTGTATTGTTAGATTCATGATTTGGCAAAACAAAAGAAAAGCAAGATTAGAAGTGATAGCATATTAACAAAGTATACTCTTTTATCATATACATGCACATTTACAAATATATAAACACATAGACATCTTGTAAACTAAAAACAAATTCCTAAGCACCCCATTGCCGGAACTGATCCCCTCTTGGCCAAGGAGACCCCAAAGAAACCTTAAAAACTGAATTCCTGGCTATGATGAGATGGGAGGTTGGACAGGTTTCATTATACCCCTGCCCTTTTGGGGATTATACACAACAACTGACCAGCATTAATGTTAAATAGAGATCATAAAACTGGCTGAACAGTCTCTTCGTGGCAATAAAATACCAAATTTTAAACAGCACCTAGGCCCATGCCACACAAGGGTTAAGTCATGCACCCCTATACTTAAAGAATAAAATATGTTTTAACTGCCTGGAAAAGATCTTATGATTCATGTCTTATATCCTGTCTTTGAGTAAAGAATCTTATCGTGAGATGTTCAAATCTGATCGTGAGTTCCTCAAATTGTTGACATACCGATTAATATGTAACCTACTGACATTGAAAAGGACACTAATTTGTTTCTAAATCATAAAGTTTTGCTGATTTCTTTCTGAATCATGAAGTTTTACTTATTGTCTTGTGCATAAAACATTTGAGCCTGTAAGATGTTATCTGTAGCCAATGATTGTAACCTCTGGATTTTACCCTCCAATGAAAAAGGACAACTCCAATATGAGGAGTCACCCTCCCTTCTTCTAAACTTTCTTACAAAAGCATTCCAACTTGGAACAAACTTTGGAACACACCCACCTTTGTTGGTGTGTCTTTCTTGATTGATCCTCAAATTTGGCTTTCAATAAAATTGTATAATTTTTTTTCTGCTTCAACAGTCTTAATTTTGGGCAATGGTCTGAAAATTTGAATTACTGAAAGAAAATAACTGAGGAAAATGGTTTTGCACTCTGGGTTTTCCAACTACAAATGTGTCATTAACTTCTAGTAAAACAGCTCATACATAGGAAAAAACTGAATGCTTTAAAATGAGAGCATACAGAGAAAGAAAATGTGATATGAAATTATTTTCTAAAATAATTTGGTATGGTGACTAAATTAATTAACAGATATACAGCTTTTAGAATACCACTTGGCACATAATTCATACTCCTTTATATTATCTTTATATTATTGTATAAATCAAGACATATTTGGTTTCATTTAAAACTGAAAGTAATCAATATGAATTACAACATGTCTATAGATTTAAAATATTTAAAATATTATTATATAAAAATCCCTGATTTTGAGAACAATCCCAATGTAATATTTTTGTTTTCATGCTATGTTTGTCCACTTTACTGTGACAAAATATTGGAAAAAAGATTAAACTTAACTCACAATATGAAAGAAAGATCAATTTACTTGTTAGATGTAGGAATTCAAATCTCAGGCCACAAATGCAGATGTCAAATTTATTTCCCTTTCTTTTGGTACTTATCCCCTCCAAGCTAAACCTAACTCTTGAACTCATGGCTTTTTTTGCAGTGTATACCACACACTGGGAAGTGTAATTCAGTCACTCCTGTGAACCCTCAGTCCCCCACCTTCTTCCTTCTTTTTTCTTTTTTTTTTAACCGGAGTTTCACTCTGTCACCCAGGCTGGAGTGCAGTGGCTTGACCTTGGCTCACTGCAACCTCCGCCTCCCAGGTTCAAGCGATTCTCCTGCCTCAGCCTCCAGAGTAGCTGGGATTACAGGCACCCACCATCTCAGCCTGGCTGATTTTTGTATTTTTTTTTTTTTTTAGTAGAGACGGGGTTTTACAATGTTGGCCAGGCTGGTCTCAAACTTCTGACCTCGTGGTCCCCCTGCCTCAGCCTCCCAAAATGCTGGATTACAGGCGTGAGCCACCGCACCCGGCCCATCTTCTTCCTTCTTATGTTTGCCTTTCTTTTGGAAAGTAGCTCTTCCAAGCAGAAGACTCTCTAGATCTTTGGGAATAAAAAAATGTCTTCAGTTGATTTGATCTGGTCATATGAATCTTCATGAATTAAGAGACAATACAAAGAGTGGATGTATATCCAAAAAAAGGTCAACATTTTTTAAATCATTCAAAAAAATTTATTTGAATATTATGGTAAGTTATTATAGATCTTAAGCCATGAATGGACTGCACAGTTAATTCCGTGGTGGGGAGGTATGGGGGAAGAAAATATCAATACATAATTGCTTTTATACTGGGGAGAATATATACCCGCTTCAAGAAAATTCCCATAAATAATTTCTCACATTGCTTTTTAAAATTATTAGGTTAATTTTAGAATTCAAAACCCTTCAAATAGTGATAAGCTGAAGGAGAATAAGATGGTAACTATCTCAGTATATTTCATAATCTTTGACAGTCCAGAAACCCTGGATGCCATTATATATTAAAAGGGGACCCAGCATTTCACTTACCTCCAAGTTTATTTTCCCTGGCAGGAAACAAATTAATGTATAACCACATTGCAAACTTAGGTAATGTGCAAATGATCCAGTTCTGTTAACAGTAGACATGAAAAGAGAAGAGTATTTTGTGGGGAGTGTTGGTCTGGAGTTTATCCTGTCCCTGGACACTTTATTGGATGAGGGGTTATTATGTAATGAGAAGCTCATTATATTTTGAGGCACATAAATTGTTCTCAATATTGAGCTAAGACTCATTTCTCCATTATTTTCATAAGTTAGTTTAATTCTGTCATATAGAGTTCTGTAGAAAATTATTTTCAGGGTCTAACTACTGCTTGTCAATGCCCCTTTTCGAGCGTCACACCCAGAAGCGCGTGCTGTGCTGCAAGGCCAGTTCAAATGTCATGTGGGAGGATGCTCAGGTGCTTATGCCCAACAGGAGTTGTCAAGGGCATCAGGCTCTTGACATTGAGATTGCCAGTGGCCACCCCTCAACATTTGAGTTTCCCAGGAAGTGTCACCAACGATCATTTGAGATAGGACATCAGGCTTTTTTTCCTACTACTGTAGCAACTGATATCTAAAATGAGTCTAGAGCCCTTTCACATTAGTTAAGACTGTGCATAAATTTAAAAAAAATCACTGAACTTAATGGTAAAACAGCAATTGTAGTAAAACACATTTATGTGATTAAACATACAACATAAAATAATAAAAAATGTATTGTTATGAAGTGAATTGTGTCCCCAAACCCCAAATTCTTATGTTGAAGTCCCAACCCCCAGTATCTCAGAATGTGATTGTGTTAGGAGGTAAGGACTTTAAAGAGATGATTAATGTGACCAATAGTAGAAACAAAATTTTTAAAAAATAAAATAAAGAAATGATTAAGTTAAAATGAGTTATTTAGGGTAGGCCCCAGTCCAGTCTGACTGGCATCTTTATAAGAGTGATGTTCACAGAAGAAGACCATGTGAGGACACAGTGAGAAGGCAGCTGGCTGCAAGCCCAGGAGAGTTCTCAGGAGAAACCAAACCTGCTACCATCATGATCTTGGACTTCTTGCCTCCAGAATTGTGAGAAAATAAATTTCTGGTTTAAGCCACCTAGTCTGTGGCATTTTGTTATGGCAGCCCTAACCAACTAAACTTTACAATTCTTGCTTTCATAGGAGCTGTGTTTATTCCACAGCTATAGAGATATTTTGATTCACATATTTAGTAATAGCAGGAAACTTCACTGGAGCTTCAGGCTGAAAACATTTTGGTACTTCTTTGAAATGCCTACAAAGAAACATCCGAGTATTTCATCATATTAAGTCATCTTATATACGTATACCACACACATACATATATATGTGATTATAAGGTTTTTATAACATTATGTCTCTGTCTATATCATCTATAGCTTATGTATCTCTATGTAAATATCCCCAAAAGGATGAATTCTTTTAGGAGAGATGATGTAACTTATTTATGTCAGCATGTAAGTTTTATAAGTATTTGTCTAAATTTGGAAAACACTGTGAATATTAAAAAATAATAGATTGCAAAGATAATGATCTTATCCATGACGAATACCTCATGGACAGTTATGGGGATGTGATAATACCACTATCTTACCAAAGCAATTTGCCTTCTCTAGCCAATTGCTAGAGCAGCATTTTAAAAAGTGCTGACAACATACTTACACAATTGCCTCCAAAGTAACAACCTTAATGAGAAATTTCTATCTGTGTTTTGATCTTTCCATAGCATGATGGCTGCCCTCTTTCAGTGAATTGCACCAACTCATTTGCTCATGTATGCTGATAACACCATGCTGTCAATTCTGTATTGTTGGACCTGTCTATTTTATTTGACATACTTGATCATGAGTCCTCGCATTCTCATAGAGCATATGTCACTACTTTAAATAGGGCTTGTTTTTTGCTCATGCAGTATACATAGTACCTTATTGTTAATATTGCCAAGCATTTTCCCATTTGCCATTAAGACCCATGGAGTTTAATTCTTGAATTAAGATGTCTCTGGAATTCATGAATCTAAGTTATATTTTTCCTTCCAAGACCATCATTCTATAACAGTTTCAGTTGACATTGTTATGTTGTTGATAAATGAGTTTATTTTTCATCTCTCAAAAAGCAATTTAAAAATTAAGTACCTGAATGTCATTTGTAAAGTAAAATTGTGAGCATCCATCCATCATCTGAATGGTGCTTCATAATTCTTGCTTTCAAATGAGTTATGTTTATTCCATAGGTATAGGGATATTTTGATTCATATATTTAGTGATAGTGGGAAACTTCACTGCATCCTCCTGTTGAAAACATTTTTTTGGTACTTATTTGAAATGCTTACAAAAGTAACATCTGAGAATAATGTCATATTCAGCATCTTATATATGATAGCTATTTAAGAGACTATCAGGTATGCATTATTATCCCTATTTTACAGAGGAATTTACTGGGAGACTCATAAAAGTTACATTATCCACTAATCTGAACTAGATGTCAAAAGGAATATGTGAACCACGCCTGATACCAAACCTACACTTACTTACTATGCTACATTAACACATAACTCTCATTCAAATAGTTGTGCATGAATTCTAATTGGGTTTTGCACCTGAAGATTCATTATTTTAAGGTTGATGTCATTCAATATTCCAGCTTTTTAAAAAGTTATTTAAATTCATACAGCTGGCTGATCATGTGATTCAAAACAAGTCTTAACAATAATTTTTCAAGCCCTATCATAATAGAAAAAAGTTGATATTTTGTTTGATACTAAAATTAATAATTGGTCAGTGTAAAAAAAATTAAGAGAGTAAGAAGGTAACCTCCAAAGGGAAAGAGATATTCTGAATAAAATATGTATATCCAACAAAGGATTTATGTTTATAACATATAAAAAACTCTTACGAATCAATAAGAAAATATAGCTGAAAAGAAAAAGAGACATAAGTCCTCTACCAGGGATTTGACAAAAGAGGATATCCAAATAGACAATGAACATGTAAATGAATGCATAACATTGGGAAATGCAAAATTCAAGCACAGCGAAATATGAGTACATACCACTGAATTGCTGAAAATAAAATGCTTGAAAATAACAAGTATTGATAAGGGTGAAGAGAAATGAAATTAAGAACTTTCCTGAGTGCAGAAGTTAGATTCAAAGGCCCGGTGCAGTACCTCATGCCTGTAATCCTAGCACTTTGGGAGGCCGAAGCAGGTGGATTTCTTGAGCTCAGGAGTTCAAGACCAGCCTTGGAAACATGGCAAAACCCTGTCTCTACAAAAAAAAAAAAAAAAAAAAAAAAAAAAAAAAAATATATATATATATATATATATATATATATATATATATATATAAGCTGGGCATGGTGGCACATGCCTGTAGTCCCAGCTACTTATGGGGCTGAGGTGGGAGGATCACTTGAGCCCAAGAGGTCAAGGCTGCAGTGAGCTGAGATCACACCACTGCACTCCAGCCTGGGTGAAAAAGTGAGACCTAGTCTCAGCAACAACAAAAAAAGCAGTTAGATTCAAAATATAGTATTTGTCGACACTCATTTTTCAGAAAAGGTGTGGTGGGGCTGAATGCATTAATATTTGGAAAAGGTTCCTCAATCAGGAATCATATATGAGAGCTCCAAACAGTAGTAAGCATGTCCCAACTATTTTCAAGATATGCTAATATTATGTCTTTATTCTTTTCTGTGACAGCTTTGAGTGACTGTGGAATAATCAACTTGAATTTGAATGTTTTTCTCCTACATTTTATGATTTCTTATGTAAGGCTGATGTGACACTTGGAAAAGTTTGCAATGATGACTGACAAAAACAATTTTACCATATGAACATCTACTGTGCTTTGATTTTATCGTCTAAGGCAGGGTTTTTATTTTATTTTTATTTTTATTTTTTTTGAGATGGACTCCCTCTGTCACCCAGGCTGGAGTGCAATGGCGTGGTCTCGGCTCACTGCAACCTCCACCTCCTAGGTTCAGGCAATCCTCCTGCCTCAGACTCCCAAGTAGCTGGGACTACAGGCGTGTGCCACCACACCCAGCTAATTTGTGTATTTTTAGTAGAGACTGGGTTTCACCATGTTGGCCAGGCTGGTCTCGAACTCCTGACCTCATGATCCGCCCACCTGGGCCTCCCAAAGTGCTGGGATTACAGGCGTGAGCCACTGTGCCCGGCTGGGTTTTTAATTTTTTGTTTGTTTGTTTTTGGTTAGGAAGCATTTATGTGTAAAGTGTAAACAAATAAACGTTAAAAATGTGTACTAACCTGGTTGTAAAGGTGGTTTGGGAAACATGTAAACCCTGCTTGCTTTGCCTGCTTCCTCAGCAGGGATGATTTGAACCACATACCATTTAATTATATCTCTCCAGTTACTTGATGAAAAAAAAAAGTTTATCTGAATCACCAGTGCTCCTAGTGTTTTTGAGCACTTTCTTCAAAAGTAAAGTCCCTGGAACCCTCAGGAAAGTCATTCACAAATTCCCTTAAGAAACACTAATTGAAGACACTAAACTCTATAATAAAATGTATTAAATTATGAATTATCACTATAAATGAGAGGTTTTGTGAGTATAATTGTTAAAAGTAATTTTCAGTTATTAAAATAAAATCATAAAACTTAAAATTTGTTTTCAAATTTTTTATCTTCAATCTCTGTGATTCAAAAATCTCTAGCTAGCCTGTACAAAACCAGTGTCAGAGAACAAAAAAAAATGTCATCTTGCTTCTAATTTAATGCATGGTTTCTGCAGCAAGGAGACTGGCCTCTGGTTTCAGCCCTGTCTGTGATTGGGTATGCACCTGCATGAGTAACTTGAACTCTGCTTCATTTTCTCTTATCAAACATGACCAAGAGTCAAGTTAAATAATGTATAAAGACTTGTGGTAGGCCAAATAATACTCCCTAATAATATCCGACTCCTAATCCATGGAAACTGTGAAAGTCAAATCACATGGCAAAAAAGGACTTTGAAAATGTGATTAAGCTAAGGATTCTGGATGAAGAGATTATTCTGTATCATCCAAGTGGGACTTAAGTGGAATCACCAATTTTTTTTTTTTATAAAAAGGATATTTGATTCGGTAGAGACAAAGGCAATGTGCCATGGAGGAATGCAGCCACACGGAATGATGCAACCACAAGCCGAGGAACACCAGTAGCCACTAGAAGCCTGAAGAGGCAAGGAACGGATTCTCCCTGGAGCCTACCAAGGGATTATGGCCCTGCTGACACCTTGCTTTTGGCCAAGTGATACTATTATACTTTCAAACTGCAGACTTCCAGAACTGTGAGATAATAAATTTCTGTTGTTTTAGACCATCAAGTTTGCAGTAACTTGTTATAGCAGCTACAAGAAGCGAATAGAAGACCCTTCCAGCTTTAAAATTGTATGGGTGGCAAAACAAACTGAAGATGTAAAAATCAATAGGCATTTAGAATAACTTGCTTTTTACTAACTAAAATTCTAAAGTACAACTGAGCATTAAAAGTTCTGGGCTTCTTGACATCTGTGACTCTGATTGGTTGAGAGATTTGCTCTGATTTTTTTACTTAATGGGAATGCTTGTTACTTGAAAAAGAAAAGCAGTCATTTGCTACTAGTCTGTAACTCAGCTAATCTCTTCTTCTGATCCTCTTCTTTTGACTACTAATTTTTAGAAGTACTCAGAGATCAACCATGAGTATTATTCTTTTCTATTTTTACCCACTCAGTCTAGGTGATCATAGCTATTCCCGTGGCTTTAAATGCCTTCTGAATTCTGATAGCTCCCTGACTTACATACCTGAACTTCAGATTAATAAATCCAATTGCGAGATTCATAGTTTCTCTTCAATAACTAATGGCATCTGAAATTTAAATTGTGCATTAAAAAGACTCACTTTTCAACTTGCACACTTCTATCTGTGCTTTCTCCAGCATTTCCTGTTTTAATAAGTGGAGCCTCCATCTACCAAGTTGCTCCAAGCAAAATCTGAGAGTAATCCTCAATACTTCCTTTTCCACCACCGACCATGTTGGATTCATCATCTAATTTTGCATATTATGTCTCAAACATTTTCTATTTAATCACATCTCTCCATCTCTAGCGCTATCATTGTCTCTAGCCCGGACTCCTCCTAGGTGGTCCCCTACTTCTAATCTTGCCTGTTTCCAATTCATTCTCAACATGGAAGCCAGTTTGATATTTAGATAAGTTTACTTGCCTGCTTAAACACTCTAATTTTTAAATAAATAAAATCCATGCGTGACTTAGTCCCTTCCTCTTTCTCCAAACTCATCTCAAACTCTCCATCTTACCTCATACCTATTATAAACACTCAGGCCTTTCCTCCGTTCCTCTAAAACTTCATTTGTTTCCTGCCTCCAGGTCTTTAGACTGATATTTCCTTCTGCATGGAACACTCTCCCAAACCCAGCCCCAGCTATGCATGACTTTTCATTACTTTTTCAACTTAAATTTCACCTCCTTAGGTAAAATCTAAAATTTTCCTGATTCATTCAATGCAAAAAAAAAAAAATCCTCCCCAGCTAGTGTCTATCAGGGCACCCTTTCTGTTCCTCTCACAGCACACATTAGGACTTGTTGCTTCATTTTATTTATGTATTTATTACTTGACTGTATCCATTACTAGGCCATAAGTCCTATGGGAGGATGGGATCTCATTAGTCCTTTTTAATGTTTTGTTTTTATTATATTTTGCATTTTGTTAAAGTTTTACATGCATAGAAACTTTTGAAAGACAAATAAATGGTTCTGAAGGTCACGTTTGTATCCCTATTTCCTGAGATTTCAGTTTCAGGAATTATTTGGTCACCTGCTATTTAGGAGGAAGAGCAGTTAACTTTCTTCCCCCAAGCCCCATGGACATACACCCTTGCCACCACCAAACTTACCAATGTAGCTAGATCAGATGTTGGATTAGATTAATATTTTATGTTTACATTAGGACGATTATGCAAATGTTAGTCACAGATGAGTTTTCTCTGGAGCTAATTATCATGCTTTCATTTGCTTGTTTTCTTAGTTTTCTCTGTACTCACCGCTAATTCAATTCTAAACCCTTTGCCGATTGTCTAAATCTTCGAAATGATCAGACACATGAATCATTCTATGAATTTCTTTTTTTTTGAAGAAATATCTCTCCTCTCTGGCTCCAATCTGGGTTCATTGCCCTCTAGGCCTGGTGAACAGTTGTCATATGGAGACTCTTCTTACTCCCATAGTGAAGATTCCCTTATGTCTCTGCAAACGGAAGCTATTCCATGTTTTCTTCTTTCTTGTTTTAGTCCCTCATTTTAATGGGACATAATTCTTTGCTATCCTGCATGACTGAGATACTTTAATTCTTTCCTTGTCCTTGATTGAATATGGATTGATTTCAAATCCTCAATTTAAAATCAATTTCTTTCAGCAATCTCAGCACATCGCTCCGTGACTTTGTCAGTTTCTTACATGGTTATAGAGAAATTCAAAGTAATTTTGACCCATCTTTTGTTAATATCCCTTTTGTTTTTTCCCTCTCTCTGAAAGTTTACAGAAATTTCTCTTTGTCCGCAATGTTCTGGATTTTCACAGGTTCTGAATGTGCCTACAGATAGGTTTATTTGTATCCATTAATTTGAACACTCAATGAAAAAAGGGAAGGATGAGAGTAGGAGAAGATATATTTGTAACTGAGGTGGCAAAATTGAGGTAACTTCTGGTGAATTTTATTTTTCTAATGAGGTAAAGTCATCTACTAAGGGCCAAAAGAATTTTTGAAAAAGTTGTTCAGGTCTATTGAGGAGACTGAGAGATTGCTTATTAGGCAATTTTATTCTAATTCTTCATTAAACAAATGGAACTCATTGATTTCTTCTTGCTCAATAACATCTTTTTCTTTCAGATAGAAGAATTCCCTTTAGCATTTCTTGTAGAACAGTTCTGGTGTTAATGAAATTCTTCAGCTCTTGTTTGTCTGGGAAGGTCTTTATTTCTCTTTCATGGTTGAGAGATATTTTCAGCGACTATACTATTTTAGGGTAATTTTTGTTTTCCTTCAGCACCTTAAATATGTTACGTAACTCTTTCCTGGCTTGTAGGCTTCCACTGAAAAATCTCCTGCTAGATGTATTGGAGCTCCATTGTATGTTATTTGTTTCATTTCTCTTGCTGCTTTTAGGATCCTTGCTTCATCCTTGACCTTTTGGAGTTTATTAGATGTCTTGAGGTAGTGTTCTTTGGCCTAAATCTGCTTGGTTTTCTATGACCTTTATGTACTTGAATGTAGACATTTTTCTCTAGGTTTCAGAAGTCCTTTGATATCACTCCTTTGAATATACATTCTACCCTGATCTTGTTGTCTACCTTCTCTTTAAGGCCAGCAGCTCAGATTTGCCCCTGTGTGGCTATTTTCTAGATCTTACAGGTGTGCTTCATTGTTTTTTATTCTTTTTTCTTTTGTATCCTTTGACTGTGTCTTTTCATACAGTCTGTCTTCAAGCTTACTCATTCTTTCTTCCACTTGATCAGTTCTGTTATTAAGTGATTCTGACGCACTCTTCATTATGTCAATTGCATTTCTCAACTCTAGAATTTCTGTTTGATTCTTTTTAATTATTTCAATTTCTGTGTTAAGTTGATCTAATTTTGAATTCCTTCTCTGTTTTAGCTTGAATTTCTTTGAGTTTCCTCAAAACAGCTATTTTGAATTCTCTGTCTGAAAGGTCACATGGCTCTGTTTCTCCAGGATTGGTCCCTGGTGACCTACTTAGTTCATTTGGTCAGGTCATGTTTTCCTCGGTGGTCTTGATGCTTGCGGATGTTCATTGGTGTCTGGGGATTGAAGAGTTAGGTATTTATTGTAGTATTTGCAGTCTGGGCTTATTTGTGCCATCTTAGTTGAGAAGGCTTTCCAGGTATTTGAAGGGACTTGGGACCGAAGCCTAATATCGCTGTGTTTTTTGTAGACTCATAGAGGTACAGCCTTGGTGGTCTTGGATAAGATCCAGAAGAATTTTCTGGATTACCAGGCAGAGACTCTTGTTCTTTTCCCTTATGTTTTCCCAAACAGAGTCTCTCTCCATGCTTAGCCAATGAAACTGGGGTGTGGTGATACAAGTACTCCTGTGGCCTGACATCTATACATTTAAGGTATAGTGAAATTAAACATGGACAGATCTGATTTAGGCATCATTCAGTAATGGATAATCCTTGCCTGTTCTTCCCACATGTATATCATTTTATAAGTTACAGATTTTATAGATTTTTTTTTTTTTACAGATCACAAATATAATTTAGGCCCACAAGTTCAGCTACATTTCCTAAAGTCAACAGAAGAATGTTGGTAACCACTGATAAAACATAAAATAATTAAGATATTATAATTTACTAAATAGAGTGAGTGTTTTACAACAAATTCAAATAATATGCAAGTATAGTTACAATGAAGTTCTTGTTAATTACCAATACTTTCTTAATTAGCCATGGAAAATACCTCAGTCCAACTGACCAACCGTTCTTTTTTTTTTGAGACGGAGTCTCGCTCTGTCGCCCAGGCTGGAGTGCAGTGGTGCAATCTACGCTCACTGCAAGCTCCGCCTCCCGGGCTCACGCCATTCTCCTGCCTCAGCCTCCCGAGTAGCTGGGACTACAGGCGCCCGCCACCACGCCCAGAGAATTTTTTGTATTTTTAGTGGAGACGGGGTTTCACTGTGTTAGCCAGGATGGTCTCGATCTCCTGACCTTGTGATCCACCCACCTTGGCCTCCCAAAGTGCTGGGATTACAGGCGTGAGCCACCGCACCCGGCCTGACCAACAGTTCTATAAATATTTTTTGTTCTTTCATCTTCTGTTTTTCCATTTCATGATCATTATATTCTACATAGGAATTTGCTAAAGCAAAATTTCCTTTTATCAGAATTGATGAGAAAATTTCAAAATTTCTCAGCAATTTAGAAACGATGGATCTTTAATGAGAAAATTTGAGTTTGAATCCTAGTTCTGTGTCCTTCTGAATGATGTAGCCCTTGTTGTCCTAGGGCTCTGCAATGCAAAATGGGACTATCTTTCAGAGCTGTATGAGGATTTGAGATACCTTGCATAGGGCTGGGTGCAGAGTAGTTACCTATAAATGACGGATTATTTTTTCATTTTTTCCCTTTAATTATTCTAGGTTTAATCATAAAACTACAATGATTTTCTTTATCAAACAGATTTTATTAATCTCATTTTCATTGCTCTAGTCCTTTAATAAGTTGTTGACACAAACATCCATACCAGAAAAGAAATTGTAAACTAAGGGCCTGTCAGATATGTACACACAATTGACAAATTCTGTGAATATGTTTGCCACAAAATGCCTTCTACCACAGCTGAAGTAGAGTTTGCATCAGCACCCCTAACATTCATGGGAAAAGAAAATCTAGACTGAATGTGGCCTTGAACACAACTAATAAGAAAAATGTCCTGTCGTCTATCATATTTAGTTCATCTTTGCTATCTCAACTGCAGATGAGCTCCAAAGCTGTTCCTTTTTTAAATTCTGTATTAATAGTATTTCATTGCTTAACTACTTCAGTTCACAAGCATAACCTGGAGTTTCCTCACCCCTTGAAATCTATTAAGATAAATGTAAACCCCATTCTGTGCCCGTGTATAAATAAGAACATTTGCTAAGGTTTATGAAAATTGTCAAAGGTTTACGTTCAAATGGCCAAATTCTGGTTCCAGATTCCTTGTAAACATGCTACACAACCCATTCATGAATCTGAAGCTTATACTTAGTTTCTGCTAAAATTACATCATTCATGTAAGATGCTGGATGAAGAAGATCTATAAAGACTTCTGTGGGGGTGGTTGAGTTGAAAAAGATTTACACTGAAGCAACACCAACAACTTCCACTCAGACACTGACAACCATGTTCTTTAAAATCCTTTTGGCTCCCATGCTATTTGGGGCTTTTCTCTTGCACTTAGTTCCACAGATTGCCAATCCTTCAACCATCATACTCGGTACTTCCCATCCCCACCCCATTTTCTTGAGTCTTTTTTTTTTACCTCTAATTCAATCCCTTGAATTGCGTTAGTTTACTAAAGAAGACTTTTCATATCTTATGTCATAATATCTTCATGTCTTGCATCACAGTGTGATCTAAAGTTCTTAGTCAGCAAAGGTCATTAAATTCCCTAGAAACTGTTAGTCTTGCTTTCCGTGTTAAAAGGCACATTTGAACAAGTTTGGTCTTTGCAGCGGGCATTATGATGTGTCACTGAGCTCCCCTTTCAGGACTGATCAACCTTTTCCCTGGGTAGTTATAATATTGTTGCTGTGAGCCCTCAGCTACTGGCCTTCTTCAGAAATTGGCTCAGGTGGAGATAGTCTCCTTGCCCAAGTTCATGCTCCCATTCTAGGAGCAGTACACAACTAATGACTGATCGATGTGGAGGTATAAAGATCTTGGTTCCTTGCTTAAACTCAGAAACTTTGACAGCCATATCAGTCTCAGAGCTCCCTGTGGGATCAGCTGACTGAGCTGAGGTCCTTGTTTAACTATGTCGTGGCTTAACCTCTCCCTCTCCTCCATCCTGGTTTCCTCCTACTGTAATCTAAATGTTTGTATCCCCCCAAAATTCATACGTTGAAATCCTATCCTTCAATGCAAAGGGATTAGGAGATGGGGGTCTTTGATAGGTGATTAGACCATGAGGGCTCTGCCACCCTTATAAAAGAAATTCTGGAGAGCTCCCTCCTCTTTTCCACCAAGTGAAGACACAGTGAGAAGACAGCTGCTATGAACGAGGAAGCAGACCTTCACCAGAACCTGATCATGCTGACACTCTGATCTCAGACTTCCAGCCTCCAGAGCTACGAGAAATAAATTTCTTTGTTTAGAAGCCAACAACTCTAAGGTATTCTGTTACAGAAGCCTGAATGGACCTAGATGTTTCCTTTTCTTTCCATAGTCGTTAATCCAGACACTACTTTCTAACAAATAAAAGGATCTTATCTCAGAGTCTGCTTCCCAGCTGCAACAGTCCTTTGGTAGTTAGGAATATGCAATAAGTAGGATAAAGATGTTTGAGATGGAAGGAGGAAATAAAGAGTGTGGAGAGACATAAAAGACAATAAGAGGCTAAGAAAAGCAGTGCAGATGGAAGTAACCAGGAGTTTCAACACTTAAGAGTGAAAATTTCAGTCGTGGCATCTTGGTAGAATCAGTCTGAAAACATTATAGGACAGTGAGTAGCAACTGATGGAGATACAAGAGTAAGAAAGGAAATGATTCAAATAGGAAAGTTTTATTGCACTATAGAAATATCTCTATTGTAGTCAAAATAGCATAGTAGATTTATCTTTGTGTTTCCAGCAGTTTTGAGGTATATAATGTATACTTCCTTGAGACATGATTTTCGGTTTATTCATTAGAAATCCAAAGATTTTTACATCTTATCTAACTATAGAAGCAGAGGATAAATGCCTGATTATAAAAATCAGGATTATTATAGCAACCTATTTGAAAAACAATTCTCAAGTGACATAGGCTGCAAAAACCATTGAAAGATATTTCCTTGGCTTTGGTCACGGTAGATTCACATCTGGCATTTGGTCAATCACTCATTAAATATTAACTAGCTTTATTTATGCAATTTCAAGGCTCCTTTTACCCTTTGAAAGGTTTCAAATGTGCATGTAACAGTTGATGACATATTAACTATTTAAGTAAAAGACACTTGAAAACAGCAAGTACAAAAAATCACTTTGACCTTCATGTTGTTTTTTAAAAGCAAAGGATGAGATTCCCATGTGAAAGACATGAAAGACCCTCTTGATATGAGAAAGAAGCAACATCTTTATTTTTCAGGAAGAGAAGTCAAAAGCAAGAGAATTTTGTACAGACTTTGTTGAGATGTCTCTTATCTTTTAAGCATCCCACATAACTTAGCTGTTTCTTCATAACTTACTATTCTCTGTCCAATCCAATATATAAGTAACTGACTCAAACTGCTCTTCAGGTCTTCATTTTTTTTATGAGGGCTTTCATGCCACATAAAACTTATATTATGCTTTTCTCTTGTTAATTTTATGTTATGTCAATTCAATTCTCAGACTTAGTCAGAATTCTAAGAGGATGGAGGTAGAGTTTTTAACCCCTACATCTTTTAATGGAAAAAATGGAAGGAAAGGGAATCTTCAAAGGATAATTAGGTTCTTTCTCACTGATCTGGAGATTGCTTATCCAATTAACGCAAATTTCTTCTCTTTTCATTTCTCTTCACTTTAAGCATGAAATATAATAGAAATAGTGAACTAACTACAAAGAAAAGCTTTTTTGTTCTCAGCATGAAATTTCCTTCCAAATAGAATTATCCAGTTAATTTATATTAATATAAACAAGAAATCCGTACAACATTTAACATTTCCTGAGTCTGTAACTTCAGTTATTTAAAATATATAAAATAATTTTCAAAAAGCTTAACTCTAAAACTGAAGACTTTTGTATACAGAAAGCTATGCGTATGTCTAGTTATAGCTAAAACATGCTGCACAGATTTGGCAACTAAATGTGCCAAAGGTTTGAAAATATTCAATGACAATGCAAAAATTAAAAATATTATTAACTTTGAGAATAATAACATGCCTCAATGAAGTAATATAATTCTTTTTTTTTCAATACACATCTGAGCCTCTGTTGCATGCTAAGCATTTGTCCAAAGGGTTTCAGAGGTAAATGTGACTCCCTACCTAACCAACAAGAACTCACTTTCTAGTGAGGTAACTAATGACAAGTTAGCTATGTAATACAGTGATAAAAGTACCATCATAGGGAAAGTAGGAAGGACCTAATTCATCCTGAGGAATGGGGCACAATCAAAGAACACTTTTTTATGGAGTCTAAAAGGATGAGTCAGCCATACACCTCAAGGTGGGTGGTGAAATGAATGAATAAGACCCGGATAGGGAAAAGGAGGGAGATATACAAAACTGGAAGCTTTGAGGGATCCTGGCACATGAAAATGGCGAATGTTTCTATGTCATTGGACAAAAAGCTGTGTGTGTATAAGTAAGTATGTGTGTGTGTGTGTGTGTGTGTGTGTATACAGGGCAGCTACAGGGGAAGGAAAACAATTTTTTCTTTAACTCATAAATTCTTAGTTGGAAGGAATCTCTGTAATGAAAGACAGATAAACAAGAAAAAAGCAAGGAGAAGTTTATTTACAAGTATATTTCATATATACATGGGAGATAACGAGAGAATGAGTAATTTTCCAACAAGTGGTTTTGAATTCCAGCTTATATAGCATTGTCAACAAAGAACAGTGGATTTTTAGAGAAGTGAAAGACAAAGCAAAAGGACTTTGAGTCTCCAGGGATTGCAACTTGTGGGGAAAGACAAATAAATGGCAGATAAAGGCTATTAGTAAAGCTTGTTAATACAGATTCCTCTGGTGCCATTGCCAGGTCCATAGTGGTCAAAAGTTGTCTGTAGTTATTAACCTTGTTTTTCCCTGGTAGGGATACCTTTTGTCTTTGTAAATCTATATCCTGCTTTTAGGTAAATAGAGGGAGGGCAGAGAACGTTCTTGCACCTACTTTTAATTGCCTTCAGTTCAATAGTCTTTCATTTTTTGGTGTGGCATAGTCTGTTATCCCACAGCAGCTGATGAGTTCGAATATGCAATAGTATGACACTAATGAAGGGTCTTATATGCTCTGTTAAGAATTTTAACTTTATCTTGAATTCCATGCGGATTCAATGAAAGGTATTTCAAGAATCAGTTACTCAGGAAAAGAAGTAGTTTGAACTTTTAGAAACTGTTTGAGGTTAATCTTTTCCAGACTAATGAATATGAGTTAGTATAGGGGTGTGTCCTACTAATTATTCTGGTGGCCATGGTTACACACAACACAGAAGACCAGATCTCCTTAGCCTACACCAGAGATTCTCATGTGAGAATTGCCCGAATATCTGCTTTAATGAATCCAAAAAGGTCTCTGTCTCTGAGTCCCAGCTACTTGGGAGGCTGAGGTGGGCGGATCACTTGAGCCCGGGAGGTTGAGGCTGCCATTATTGTGCCACAGCACTCCAGCCTGGGTGACAGAGTGAGACCCTGTCTCACACAAACACACACACAAGTCTTTGAATATGGGCATTTTAAAAAAAACTCTAGGCGATGTTAGTGGGCAGTAAAAATGAAAGCTTCTAACTTGCTTTTGGTCATAGAAGGAAAAATAAAATATTGGGAGGTTTATAAAGAATGGAAAAAACATCAAATTGCAGTGTTCAAGTATTTAAGATGTTTGTATCCCCTCAGAGTCTAATGCTTACTAAATGTTTAAGGGGTTTAGAGAAAATGAATGCATTTTCAAAGAAGGTTTATGAGCTAAAGTACAACAGTTAAAGTTGGAGATGTAGTCTGTCAGTCTCCCAAGACACTCTAAGCACAGGATTCTTCAAACGTTCTATTTTTACATATATGTGCCTTTGTTCTCTAGAATAACATTTTTTAGACTACTCATATGGAAACATCTTAACTGTGTCTTGAAGCTGTATTGCTGGGTCTTTCTCAGCACCAACTTCACTTCACTTCCAGGAAAGAATAGATTGTTCCCTTTGTTTGGCCTTTCTAGCACATTTTTATTACTCTGATAAAGCACTAACCACATTGGGTCGGCTTTTTTTGCTGGACTGTGGACTCCATACAGAGTAACTCACCTAGATTCCCCTTGTAGTGTCTAACAGCAAATGTTTGAAAGTTGCAGGTTATGTATGCAAGGATGCGTAATGGGAAGGTGAGTGAGCAGAGATCAAAGAGGATAAAGGTTATTTAAGAAATGTTTTGCTTGACTAAAAGAATAAACAGAGGGTTGAAACAAAAGGAGCACTGATTTTTATACAATATTGATATGGAGGAAGCTCATCACACTTTTCTATCTGTGATATTGATTTAGACTGGTCCTGGATGGAGTGAGAAAGTATATCGGCCCCATAATCCTGCTTTTCATTTGCAAAAAAGTTGTGTGGAGTACCTGGGTAAACAGGTCCTCATGGAAATTCTCAAAGCTATTTGTGATCTAGATAATTACTTGGTGGAACTCAGAATGATTCACATACACTACTAATATTTTGTGGCTTCTACTGAGTCAGAAGTTTTTTTTCTTCTAACAATTTTTTCTTTTTCCTTTTTGACATCAGACATTGGGAATCACAGACAAGCAAGAAAGGGAAAACTCAAATACGTCTTGTACTGCTTTGGATAGGAATAACAAAAGACAAAAACAAAACAATACCACTATTTTTGGTATATTGTTCCATTTATATGCCTGAAAATATATGTTCAGACTTGGTTTCTAATCACATCCATGGAAGTAGGGCCCATCATGTCATATCCACACCTATTGATGTGGATAATTTGGGTAAGCTTGTTTTCAGCATTGTCTTTGATTTTTAAAATATAATTTCTTGCTGGAACTACAAGTATCAAATCAAATCTATTCTTTCTTTTTCCCTAATATATGTTCTGATTATGTTAGGCAAGAAGTAAGACTAGTCTATCTTCTTTACGATATCAGCACCTCTATCATTTGAAGATGATTTTTGAAATGATACAAAATCTGCATGCTATGCTGTTTGTAATGTGCTAGAGGTGAACAAGCCTCTGGGTTATAAAATATTTGCTTAAAATGGAAGACTTACAAACCGGATGCTTGCGATTCAAAATACACAAACCTAAGATGTAGGATATTATTAAACCTAAGTCTTCAGATTTCATTTTCTATAAAGTCACAGTATTATTAAGGATTAAGTAAAATTGAATAAAAGGTTGGCTTTCTTTTTTGTTCCTCTTTCCAGCTTATCTGATTTAAAAATGAAGTTAAGATGTCAAAGCCACTGTTGGAATAGCATGAGGAGTGCGATTTGATTCTGTGCATCGATAGACTCTGCAACCACGGAGTAGTCTTTTAACCTTTTTGAAATTCGCATGCACTATGTCAAAAAGGGCTTTATTACCAGGTTAATAAGATCATGTCTGTAGAGTATTTTAAGCTCTTTTATTCTGAGAATGATAAGCAAATGTGAGGTTTTATTATCATTATCATTATCATTGGCTTCAAAGGGAATTTGGTTTTCATAGCTCAGTGGGGTGAAAAGAAAGATAAGAACCTGGCTGGTGGTGTTCAAATAAATGTCAGGGTTAAGAACTCAAGGAGAAGCTGAGAAGAGACAGAGGAAGAAAAACCTTGTTTCATTGGTACATTAGTTGAGAGCCAGCTGGAGCAAGATTGAATCTTAAATAAACTATCAGGGCAAAATATACATACTACACAATCATACTCTCTGTCTCTCTCTCTCTCCCACCCACACATATACATGCACAAACACGATCTTTTAAATTCATTTCTCTATTATTCGATCTAATATATTACTCATTCCTCAGTGTTAAATTCAAAAGATAAGGATAAGCAAAATTACTGTAATTGTATTTCTGACTGCTTCTCTTAATGGATGTGTTAATGGAATTTCCTTACATGTTTAATGTTGCATATATTAATGAAAAATATAGCAGACCACTTCTGTTAGATTAGACCAAAACAGCTATTTAGCCCTAAGAAGTAACGTAAGTAATTTCCCAGTTTGAAAAGGATGGTAATATTGAGAGGAAAAACCTTAACATTTTATGGTGGTTGTAATCCTATTGTGAAATCAAAAGTGACATTTTAACATAATTTAACATTTGCATTTTTTTAGCTCAGCTGAGAGCCAAAAAAAAAACAACAACTGCTTCATATATCTAATACTGCTCATTGAAATGTAAATCACAGTAAATGACCCGTATAGGAATAAATGGACAAACAGCAGAATAAATGGACAAACAGCAGAATAAATAAAAATGTATTACCTTTATACAGCCGTTTGTCTTCTGATAGCATGAGTAAAGCTTAAGTCAGATACAATTAAATGGACTGAAGCTTTAACAATGACTTTTGAACTGCTTGATTTAACAAACTCAATCCTCATAAATTAAACTATCAGTGATCTATGATACAATTAAGTTCCATAATCAAAAAATGCTACAGTGCATGCAGTGTCACTTGCACTATTCCTAACGCTGAATTTTAACTACTCCTGGCTACCTCTTCCTGCAGGGTTGTGTAAAACTCCATCTGGCACACTAGACACTAACATTATGATACATGGTTTCTTTTCTATTCTTCAATTTAGGCTGACATCTGGTGGTCCAGGGGAACAACAAGCAATGCCTCCGAATGTAAACCGATTCACAAATGCGGCTTTTTTTCCCAGTTTTCCCTTTGTCTTTTTGAAGTGCTTGAAATTGCCACCAAACCAGTTAATTACATGGAAATTCACATAGAATAACAATTTAAACAGCAGAACAATAAGGGTGAAGAAAGTGACCTTCACGTGATGAATTATATACATGTAAGTATATTGAACTCAGCGGTGACTACAAAGCATCAATAGAAAGCACCATATATTGGCCAATTAGACTCACTCAGAAAGGGTACTATTTAATGGCACCACACTGGGGATCATAATGGGAATGTGGTACATGTAAGATTTCCTTCTTTTTTTCTCCCTGTCAAGATAGTTGGAGGGAAGGAAATGAAGGGAATGAGGGGGAGGGGTAGAGGGAGCTACTGTGTATAGTGAGAAATTGACGTTTAAACAGGCATGAGGTAGTATTCAAAAGCATTTATCTTTTATTTTTCTTTGGGAAGAAGCAGACACTTCCAGCAGTTAGCAGCAGTCCAGATGGCAAACACAGTGGGCAGAAGCAGGAACAATTCAACTCTCCCCATGCTTGGGATTTAAAAAAACAACAACAAAAAAACCTCTCAAACACCTCCAATTAATTTACTATGGTATATGCCACTAATTACCAAATCACAGAGGAACAGAGTGATACACTGTCAGCCTTATGATGTTCATGTTATTTGTACAATTTATCCGTACAGAAAAAGGAAAAAGCACCTCTGATTTTTCTCACATTCATCACTTAGCTACACCATTCTATAATATTTTGACCAATGAAGAGTCTTAATAAATGGGCATTTTGTGTTCATTTTTTGTTTTTTCATATCTTTTGCAATGATTGGAAATAGCATAAGAAATACATGTAATGCTTAGATTGACTTTGATCTATATTTATGAAAGGTTCTGTACTGACAGAATTATGGGTAAAGTTCCCCATTGTGGGAAACACACACACACACACACACACACACACACACACACACACAAAGACGAAACAAAAAAAACAAACAAGCAAACAAAGTCTTTAACCTTGTCCAACAAAGACCGTTCTGAATGTTTGGGCTGGTCTCTGTTTCCACTTCACCTTGTGACTCTGAAAAGGTTATTGGAAGGAGTGCCAATTATGTTGGTGCTTTTGAAATATGGCCAAATCCTCTAGGAGGTGGACTCAAGCTGCCAATACCTAATCTCATAAAGGTCACTCAAAAGTTCAAATGAAATTGCTTTTAGTTACTATAAAACTTACCTGAGTTGAAATGATTTTACTAAAGGAAAAATATTTCCACCTGCTCTTACCAGTCCTTTCTTCTTAGAGTTTAATCATTAGCCATAAGTTTCTCAAGAAAGAGGAATTATTTTAAATAAACTTAACAACTATCATATAAACTTTTAAAGAAGGAGAAGAATGAATATATGTTCTGTAAGAAAATTACATGCCCAGAATGTCTACAACAAGCCATCCACAAGAAAGGTAGTGGCATTCTGCTAGACTTCATGTGACTATTATATTTATTAAGGAATAAGGCAGAGGAAAAATTGTACTGTGATTTTAGAAGTACTCAAAAAGTCTTTCTCTCACAAACATCTTACATTGATTGTTAATGAATAGCTCTCAAAATTATACATTAGTTCTCTTGGCTTTGGGCTTTGTGGCCTCCCAGCATATAAATATTTTTCCAAGCAATAACTTTTAGAATTATGAGTTTCATTTTTATGAGTCTTTTTTTTTCCCCCCCGAGACAGAGTCCCGCTTTGTCACCCAGGCTGCAGTGCAGTGGTGTGATCTTGGCTCACTGCAACCTCCACTCCCAGGGTCAAGTGATTCTCCTGTCTCAGCCTCCCAAGTAGCTGGGACTACAGGCATGCACCACCATGCCAGCCTAATTTTTGTATTTTTAGTAGAGACAGGGTTTCACTATGTTGGCCAGGCTGGTCTTGAACTCCTGACCTCGTGATCCACCTGCCTCGTCCTCCCAAAGTGCTGGGACTACAGGCTTGAGCCACTGTGCCCGGCCACAAGTTAATCTTTATTTTCGAGATGGAGACTTGCACTCTTACCCAGGCTGGAGTGCAATGGTGTGATCTTGGCTCACTGCAACCTCTGCCTTCTAGGTCCAACCCATTCTCCTGTCTCAGCCTCCTGAATAGCTGGCGTGCCACCATACCTGGCTAATTTTTTGTATTTTTGGTAGAGACGCGGTTTCACTGTGTTAGCCAGGATGGCCTTAATCTCCTGACCTCATGATCCACCCACCTTGGCCTCCCAAAGTGTTGGGATTACAGGTGTGAGCCACTGCGCCCCGCCTCGTGAGTCAATTTTTTTAGGAATTTTATTTCATATATGTAACATCTATTTCTTCTAGCTATCCTGATCTTGGTATAAAATGGTGGCATGTTAAGAATAATTAAAACTATTTCTTTGCAAACTATTAATATAGTATTTTTATCTTTTTTAAAGATTTTGCCACATATTAGGCAGAGTCCTAAAAGAAAAGCATGTTGTATGTAATTGTGTAAGTCCCCTATTCTGAGATCTCCATTTCTGAGTAACTCACATAAAACTTCCCCATCAGTTCTACCAGTACCACTTCCCACTGCCGCTTCTACTACCATCACTATCACCACTGCTCCTTGGCTGCTGCTGCTGACGTGGCTGGTGCCAACAAAACCACAAATTATAGCCCTAGACCTCCTGTCAAGAACACTTGATGGTTTGGTTTTGGCATTGAAGCACAAAGGCAAAATGCCTCTTTCAGATTCAGACTGAGATTTCCTTCCTTCCTCTCCATGTTCCTTCCTTTCTTCCTTCCTTTCCTCATCCTTTCTTTTCCTTTCTTTCTTCTTTATCAAGAAAACTGTAGCTCAGATAACATGTGTAGACATTAAGCTACTGACATAGGATGAAAATACAGTTACCACGGAATTTTGCGATATGGTACCAAGCTTTTAAAAAATATAGAACACACTCAGAAGGAAGCAGAGTTCTATAAAAGATTGAACACCGAGCCAAGAATGAATCTTTTCCTTTCTAGGAGAGTGGAGCTAGATTATTTTTAAATACTTGGATTTCTTAATTGGTGCTAGTTTTTGTTGGGTGATACCCTGCTAATCCTATTCTAGAATCTAGAACTATACGGACCCATTTTTGAAGCTTATAAACAGGCAATAGCACAATAAAATACACAGTAGGCAAAATGTGGAAATAAAATATAATAATATACAGTTATGTTTACATATATGAATTATATTAGTGTCCTTCTTATTTTTCTCAAGTCTTATACGAACCATGGTTTACAGATGGTACCAGTAGTAGAATACTGGGAAAGGAAAGGGAGAGAGGGAATCACTGAATCTAGTACAGGCTTTATTTTTTCACATTGTTCCCCCAAATCCTCTTGAGATTATGGGAAGGAGAAGACAATATAACCAGTTTTATTCAATAGAACTATTGTTGAAATAGCTTCATTACTTTCTACAATAAGATACGGAAGTCTTGTTCATACTACATGTATATCACTTTGCTGTAGATAAAAAAAGTAATAAAAATATAACTAGTAATATGAAATATGTTAATGCAAAGTAGGAGATTTATTGTGGATAATACATTTTAAGTTAGATTTTATGTGAAAACACAGGGAATGTGTTTAAACATTAAAGAGCATCTATAATTTGTACATTTATTACTGTATTGAATGCTATTATTTTAAAATACCTATCTTTTTTATGCAACAGGGCCCTTTAACAAACAAAATTCAGTCTGGTATTAATGCATAGGTATTAGGGATCCATTTCAGCAATCTTCGGGGACTTTCTGTAGCTCTAGCAATTGCACCTACTATATGTTTTCAATTTTAAAATATTGTAAGGGGATCCTGATTTGGGGCCAAGGCTACTGTGCCAGTCTATGTCTGGATGTCATGCACCCACGGTGGTTCATCATAGCAAGCAGGTTCCATTTCCAGATGGTTAGCTTGAGTAGACGAGGAGATTAGATGTCTCTGTTGTCAGACAGCCAAGAATTCCTGGGATGGTCCAATATTTGCATTCCAAAAAAGCAATAGCTGGATGAAGGCGGCTCTCATAGCTGCTGAAATTTCCTTTGTACAAAGGGAGCAATTGCTCTCCTTTGTTGAGAGAGGCTGGGTTTTTTGTTATTGTTGCTTTATTTTTTTACCTGCATAGTCACAGCCAAGATCAAAATGGTTTGCATTTGTTTATCTCCTTTGAGAGCCAGTGCTTTTTTCTGCCCAGCTGTCTGTAGTTCCAGAAGCCATTATGCAGGAAGTGACAAAAGCCAAGTCGTAGTTTCCTCAATTCATTCCTCAATAACTTTTCCTTCTATTCTTTCTCATTCCTACATGTCCACATGGCCTCATTACAGGAGCGAGAACTCAGAAAGTGAGTCAGACAAAGGCAGATTGAGGTTTCCCAAATGTAGCAGCTGAACAGCAGCAATTAAGCTTGCCTTAAATGTAAGTGGCACAGTTTGAAAAACATAAGTGATTTACTTTCTTTCCTTTCTCATGTATGTGACCTGGAATTTTCATATCTCTGGAACTTATCTCCAGGTACTGATAAAAAGATGACTAAGAAATTATCCCACCAATACTATCTGATGAGACAATGCTTCAATAGAAGTATACAAGGTACTAAAAATGGAAAAGGATGTACCCGCCTAGGCAAGAGAAGGGAACCAATGGACGTGAGATTTGAGGAATAAGTGTCTGTAGCAGGTGGAGAAAGCAGCACAGTGTTTCAGAAGAATGAGTGAAACAGCACAACCTGAGGAAGTAGTGGGAGAAGAATCCAGAGTGGCAGGCAAAGACAGAATCTGGGGTCTGGGTATGATTGCGTATATAATTGAAGCTATATTCTAGAGCTTTGAGAAACTGCTGATAGATTGTAAGCAAGCAAATAGTATGATCAGATTTTCAGTAACTCGGAAGATGAGTTTAAATGCTGAGGATTGAGAAACAGGATTGATGCAAAGAGCTGGTTGAGATGGAGAAAGGCTGGTAAGAGTGGAATAGAAAGGCCACAGATGTGAAGGATCTAGGGATGAATATACACATGTTTAGGGGTGAGATTTTCTTTTGAAGAACATCCATGAACATAGTACCAGATATATGTATTGTATCTGTTACATATCAAATTGTAGAAATTGAAGAAATATTGCACCAGACAAGTAAGTTCAAGAGTCAGAATAGGAATGTAGGACTTGCTCAAGGAAGAGAAGGGATATTTGAGGTAAGCCTGTGGAAACAGAGCAGTAAGAGGGCATCAAATATACTGCAGTGTGCAGAGAAACTCAAGTGTGAAGGGTATTTACTTCCCAGTTGCTCAGTTGCATTGCTGTGCTAACAATTTATCAGATGATAGCAGCTACCTTTCCATTATTTAAGTTTTAATGTTAACTGTAGTAGTCCTTGATTCACTTTATTGTGGCTCTTTTATGACAATTGAGAAAATGAAAGTAGTTCTTATTAAGGCCTTTTTTGTCCACTAAAATTGAGTGACTAGCATTATTCTGGAGGTTTATAAAGACAGCATCAATAGTCTTAATTTTGTTTTTCTTGAGTATTTAGCCAATGAATAATTTTAATTATAATTTTCATAAAAAATACACAGATAAATTATTGATGAGAATGCAAAATGCACATAAAACATAGGACTTGGAATTAATCTAATGTGAGAGGTCAGTTCTCATATGTTTATCCTTCTCTATGTGAGATACATCAGTGAAGTATTTTGAATATACTGCATTAAGACATTTTTAAAATAATAAATGGTCTTTAGTTTCTAACTGAAAATGAAAATATTTGGATGTATTCATGGCTGATCAAAAGAGTGAAAGGAGTAAATAATGTGCTATTTTTTGTCTTATTCCAGTATCCCTAATGGAACTCAGCCAATAATTCCCCATCATCTTTCTCATAAACAAATGTATTCTTGGTGGCATTGGTAGGCAAGAAGAAAAGTTGGCTTTTGGATTAAGGTTAAAGTGGGTTGGACATTGTGGTGACAGCTTTCTCTCTTTATCCAGTGAATTTATCTCTGCCCACAAACTCCCATCATTTGAGGTTTTGTTTGGTTTAAAATAAGAAGATAACTTTCTTAATTTGATACTTGATTTCCATTTCAACAATGCTATCACATTGTAACCTAGTGGCAGAACTGACAATATTTGCACATAATGAGCAAGAAAGCTTGTTTTCACTTCCAAAACTATGCTTGCAGTTCAGGGACCTCATTAATGCTTGTCTTACTTACTACAATAACCTTCTGACTGGTCTCTTTGCCTTTAATCTCCCTGACTTGAATTCATTGTTCTTCTTGATTAATTTTCTTTTTGTACCATTCTACTCTGACCACTACCCTTCTCAAAAAACTTTAACGACTCTCGATTCTCCACTTCAAAACGTATTTTAAATTCTTTAGATCAATTATTGTAGTACTTTTGGTTCCTGTACCAAAAAATCTTATTGAACCTGATGACAGTTATGGACACTCTCCCAGTAAATTGCAATTATGTTAAAACTTACATCAAAGTTTCAAAAAATGTCCAGCTAATTCACAGACACTCTGAAACACATAGGGAAAAACACCTCCATATTTCTTCCTTTCATTCAGCAATCCGACAGATATCAGTAGTCTTTTATTATATATTAATAACTGTTCTTGATGCCTAGGATAAAGAAGTAAATAAAACACATAAAAATTCCTTTGGGAGGCCGAGGCGGGCGGATCACGAGGTCAGGAGATCGAGACCATCCCGGCTAAAACGGTGAAACCCCGTCTCTACTAAAAATACAAAAAATTAGCCGGGCGTAGTGGCGGGCGCCTGTAGTCCCAGCTACTTGGGAGGCTGAGGCAGGAGAATGGCGTGAACCCGGGAGGCGGAGCTTGCAGTGAGCCGAGATCCCGCCACTGCACTCCAGCCTGGGCGACAGAGCGAGACTCCGTCTCAAAAAAAAAAAAAAAAAAAAAAAAAAAAAAAAAAAATTCCTACCTCATTTGACTTATATTCTAGAGTGATCAGGTAAACAATAAAGATAAATAAGTAAAATACACAGTATGTGAGACAGTGATGGGTGCTAAGGAGGAAACAGACAAATCAGAGAAGTAGGATATAAAATGTTGAAGGGCAGTTGAGAAACTAAATAAGTCAATCAGGAAAACTTTCATTGAGAAAGTAGTTTTTGAGAAAAAACCTGAAGGAAGTCAGCTAGCCATATGAATATTTGGGAATAGTATCCATGTATCAGAACTAGCAAGTACAAAGGCCCTGAGATGAACATGCTTGGCAAGTTTGAAAAACAAAAAGACCATTAGAGCTGTAGTGAACAGAAAAGAAATGAAGTCAGAGAGTTACATGTAACCAGATAAAGCATAGCTTATAAGTAATAGTAAATACCTTGCTTTTTATTATGAGTGAAATGTCAGCCATTAAGGCATACTCAAATTTCTTCCCAGTCTGGTTTTAACCAACTTTCATTTTAACTATGACCACTCTCCAAACCATATAACATGATTTTAGTTGATCCCCAAAGCAATGTAAAATGTAACTACCAGTATACACGAATCTCATATGTTCATATGGCTAGCTCACTTCCTTCAGGTTTTTTTCTCAAAAACTACTTTCTCAATGAGAGTTTTCCTGGTGGACATATTTAATTTCTCAACTGCCCTTCATCATTTTATATCCTACTTCTCTGATATCTGTTTCCTCCTTAGCACCCATCACTCTCTCCCATACTATGTATTTTACTTATTTATCTCTATTCTTTACTTCCTTATATTAGAATATAAGTCAAATGAGGGTAGGAATTTTTATGTGTTTAATTTACTACTCTATCCTAGGCATCAAGAAGTGTCTGATATGTATTTTAAAAAGATATATAAAATAAAATACACACATATATTTATTAAGGTAGGTATTTAGATGTGTAATTTAAAAATATCTTTCTTTCTGAGGCTATCGACTGAATGTATGTGTGTCCCATCCCCCCCATTCATATGGTGAAACCCTAATCTCCAGTGTGATGGTATTTGAGGATGAGACATTTGGGAATTGCACCTAAGATACCCCAACTCATCTCCATTTGTCACTCATCCTCCAGGAGGCTAGCCTGGACTTCCTTATAAGAGTAGTCCCAGAAATCCCAGTAGCAGCAAGGAGGGAAAATCACACAGTACAAGTGTTTTTCAATCTTCTACTTAGTCATACTTACTGTTATCATTGGCCAAAATAAGTCAAGTGGCCAAGACTAGAGTCAGTATAGGAGGAGACTTCATAGGGTGTGAGCATAGAAAGGCATGGACAAACTGAGAGCCAGTACTCTAAAAGTCTAACATAAATTACATAAATTGTTAAAGTTGACAATTTTAACAGACTCTCTTGCTTACAGTAGTAACAAGAAATTGAATATCAGAACATAAAGAAGTGGCATTTTAAAAGAAAAGCCAAAGTGTAAATCAAACCCTATAAAACAGCTTTTTTTTTTTTTTTAAAAAAAAAAAAGGAAGTTATTCTTCAGAGATGCATGCTACTAAGAATAACCCTTATGTGTCGACTATTGGGTGCTTGGCATACATTTTTAAATTTAATATTTACAGAAAATCTGCCAGGCAGCAATTATTACTCCCTTTGTATAGAAAACAATCTGAGGGTCACAGGGGTTAAGTCTCTTGTCCAAAGTCAGGACCAAATGAATATAAAGTCTTTGGTCTTTTCCCTACCTGTCACTCTGCAATAGAAAGAGAATAGACTAGACATCAAGAAATGATACAGGGGGAAAATGGCAGATAGGAGGCAGGACTAAATTGTAGCTCCCACTTGGACCAACAAAGAAGCATGTGGAGACCCATATCAGGAACTTTTGCTCCAAGAACTATTGCAGGAATATACCAGGGAAGTGGAGAGAATCCACAGCCCCTTTGAAGGAGGTGAGTTGTTGCTGCAGGCTCCGTGAGACAGCTAGGAATTGTGAGTCTTGCTTTCTTGCTTGCTTTCTCAGCTGGGAGGCTTGTAGCCTGGGGCAAGTTCTCAGCCCTGCTTACGGGCTGCCTAGAAATAAACTAAGTGCTATTGGGGGTGCACGGTGGGAGTGAGAATAGCCTTTCAGGCTGTAGGCTGCAAGGGAGCTGGGTGAGGCCATGGCTGCTGGCTTTTCCCCACTTCCCTGTCAACCTGTGTGACACAGCAGGAGCAGGCATAATCCCTCTGGGAAGGTAACTCCATTGGCCTGGGAACCACACCCCCATCCCCCACAGCAGCCACAGCAGGCCCTACCCATGGAGAGTCTGAGCTCAGAAATCCCTAACCTTGCCCCCACCTAATGCTCTTTCTCTACTCACCCTGGTAGCCAAAGACAAAGGACATAATCTCTTGGGAGCTCTATGGCCCTGCCCATCACCTGATCCTCCCTATACTATAGCAGCTGATGCATTCTTGAAAGTGCCATCTCCTGGCTGGAGGCCAACCAACACAAAACCAGTGCACTTAACAAAAATACAACCAAGGACCTTCACAGAGTCCACTTCACCTCCCTGCTACCTCCACCAGAGCAGGTGCTGGTATCTACAGCTGAGAGACTTGAAAATGGATTGCATCACAGGACTCTTTGCAGACATTCCCCAGTACCAGTCCAGAGCCCGGTAGTTCTGCTGGGTGGCTAGATCCAGAAGAGAAATAACAATCACTGCAGTTCAACTATCAGGAAGCTCCATCCCTAGGAGAAAGGGGAGAGTACCATATCAAGGGTGGGTCCCACCCTGTGGGACAAAAGAATCTGAACAGCAGCCCCTTGAGTCCCAGATTTTCCTTCTGACATAGTTTACCCAAATGAGAAGGAACCAGAAAAACGAGGTTCTTTAACACCCCCAAAAGGTCACACTAGTTCCCCAGCAATGGGTCCAAACGAAGACGAAATCTCTGAATTGCCAGAAAAATAATTCAGAAGTCGATTATTAAGCCAAACAAGGAGGCACCAGATAGAGGTGAAGTCCAACTTAAAGAAAGGAAAAAAAATGATACAGGGTATGAATGGAAAAACCACAGTGAAATAGATAGCATAAAGAATAAGCAATCACAACTTCTGGAAATCAAAGACACACTTACAGAATGGAAAAATCATTGGGAAGTCTCAGCAACAGAATTGAACAAGTAGAAGTAAGAACTTCAGAGCTTGAAGACAAGGCTTTCAAATTAACCCAATCTGACAAAGACAAAGAAAAAAGAATTTTAAAGAGATGAACAATGACTTCAATAAGTTTGGGATTATGTTAAACAACCAAACCTAAGAATAATTGGTGTTCCCAAGGAAAAAGAGAAATCTAAAAGTTTGGAAAACATATTTGAGGAAATAATCAAAGAAAATTTCCTCAGCCTCACTAGAGATCTAGACTTCCAAATACAAGAAGCTCAAAGAACATCTGGAAAATTCATTGCAAAAAGATCTTTGCCTAGGCACATAGTCATCGTGTTATCAAAAGTCGAGATAAAGGAAAGAATCTTAAGAACTGTGAGGCAAAAGCATCAGGTATCCCATAAAGGAAAACCTATCAGGTTAACAGTAGATTTCTCAGCAGAAACCCTACAAGCTAGAAGGGATTGCGACCTCTCTTTAGCCTCCTTAGACAAAACAATTATCAGCCCCAAATTTTGTATCCAGCGAAACTAAGCATCATAAATGAAGGAAAGGTACAGTCTTTTCCAGACAAATGCTGAGAGAATTTGCTACTACCAAGCCAGCACTATAAGAACTGCTAAAAGGATCTCTAAATCTTGAAACAAATCCTTAAAATACACCAAAATAGAATCTCCTTAAAGCATAAATCTCACAGGACCTATAAAACATTAACACAATGAAAAAAATCCCCAAGGTATTCAGGCAACAATAGCACAACGAATAGAATAGTACCTCACATCTCAATACTAACGTTGAATGCCAATGGCCTAAATGCCCTCTTAAAAGATACAGAATTGCGGAGTGGATAAGAATTCACCAACCAAGTATCTGCTGTCTTCAAGAGACTCACCTGACACATAAGGACCCACATAAACTTAAGGTAAAGGGGTGGAAAAAGATATTGCATGCAAATGGACACCAAAAGCAAGCAGGCATAGCTATTCTTATATCAGACAAAACAAACTTTGAAGCAACAGCAGTTAAAAAAGACAAAGAGGGACATTCTATAATGATAAAAGGACTAGTCCAATAGGAAAATTTAATCCTAAATATATATTCACCTAGCACTGGAGGTCCCAAATTTATAAAACAATTACTACTAGGCCTAAGAAATAAGATAGACAGCAACAGAGTAATAGTGGGGGACTTCAATACTCCACTGACAGCACTAGCAAGTCATCAAGACAGAAATTCAACAAACAATGGGCATAAATTATACCCTAGAACAAATGGATATTATAAACAGGTATTTACAGAACATTCTACCCAACAACTGCAGAATACACATTCTATTCATCAGCACATGAAACAGTCTCCAAGATAGACCATATGATAGGCCACAAAACAAGTCTCAACAAATTTAACAAATCAAAATTATAGCAAGTACTCTCTCAGACCACAGTGGAATAAAATTGGAAATCAACTCCAAGATGAGCTCTCAAAACAACGCAAATACACGGAAATTCAATAACCTGCTTCTGAATGATGGAATCAACAATGGAATCAAGATGGAAAATTAAAAATGCTTTGAACTGAATAATAATAGTGATACAACCTATAAAAACCTCTGGGATACAGCAAAGACAGTGCTAAGAGGAAAGTTCATAGCCTTAAATGCCTAAATCAAAAAGTCGGAAAGAATATATATAGACAATCTAAGGTCACACCTCAAGGAACTAGAGAAACAAGAACAAACCAAATCCAAAACCAGCAGAAGAAAAGAAATAACAAAGATCAGAGAAGAACTAAGTGAAATTGAAACAAAAAAATATATAAAAGATGATTAAAACAAAAAAGCTGTTTCTTTAAAAAGATAAATAAAATTGATAGGCCATTAGGGAGATTAACCAAGAAAACAGGAGAAAAGATCCAAATAAGCTCAATTACAAATGAAATGGGAGCTATTACAACTGATAACACAGAAATACAAAAGATCATTCAAGGCTGTTATGCACACCTTTATGCACATAAACTAAAAAACCAAGAGGAGATGGATAAATTCCTGGAACTAGATAACCCTCCTAGATTAAACCAGGAAGAAATAGTAACTCTGAACAGACCAATTACAAGCAGTGAGATTGAAATGGTAATTAAAAAGTTACCAACAAAAAAAAGTCTAGGACCAGATGGATTCACAGCTGAATTCTATCTGACATTAAAAGAATTGGTACCAATCCTATTGACACTATTCCAAAAGATAAAGAGGGAATTCTCCCTAAATCATTCTATGAAGCCAGTATCACCCTAATACAAAACCCAAAAAGGGCCTAATAAAAAAAGTAAACTACAGGCTAACATTCCTGATTAACGTAGATGTAAAAATCCTCAACAAAATACTAGCTACCTTAATCCAATAGCATATCAAAAAGATAATCCACCATGATCAAGTGGGTTTCATGCCAGGGATGCAGGGATGGTTTAACACATCTATAAATGTGATACATCACATACACAAAATTAAAAACAAAAATCACATGGTTATCTCAATAGACACAGAAAAATCATTTGACAAAATCCAGCATCCCTTTATGATTAAAATCCTCAGCAAGGCCGAGCGTGATGTCTCACACCTGTAATCCCAGCACTTTGAGAGGCTGAGGCAGGTATATCACTTGAGGTAAAGAGTTTGAGACTAGTCTGGCCAACATAGCAAAACTCCATCTTTACTAAAAATACAAAAATTAGCCAGACATGGCGGCCCATGCCTGTAATGCCAGCTACTTGGGAGGCCGAGGCAGAATTGCTTGAACCTGGGAGGCGAAGGTTGTGGTGAGCCAAAATCACACCACTGCGCTCCAGCCTGGGTGACAGAGTGAGACTCCAGCTCAAAAACAACAACAACAACAACAAGAACAACAACAATAACAAAACCTCAGCAATATCAGCATAGAAGTGACATACTTTAAGGTAATAAAAGCCATCTATGAAAAACCCACAGCCAACATTATACTGAACAGGGATAAATTGAAAGTATTCCCACTGGGAACTGCAACAAGACAAGGATGCCCACTTTCATCTTTTCTATTCAACATAGTACTGGAAAACCTAGCCAGAGCACTCAGACAAGAAAAAGAAATAAAGGGCATCCAAATCAGTAAAGAGGAAGTCGAACTGTCATTGTTTGCTGATGTCATGATTGTATACTTAGAAAACCCTAAAGACTCATCTGAAAAGCTCCTAGAACTGGTAAATGAATTCAGCAAAGTTTCAAGATATAAAATTAATGTACAAAAATCAGTAGCCCTGCTATGCACCCACAATGACCAAGCTGAGAATCAAATCAAGAACTCAACCCCCTTTACAATAGCTGCAAAAAAAAAACCTTAAGAATATACTTAACCAAGGTGGTGAAGGACCTCAACCAGAAAAACTACAAAACACTGCTGAAAGAAATCATCAAAGACACAAACAAATGGAAACAAATGTCATATTCACGAATGGGTGGAATCATTATTGTGAAAATGACCATAATGCCAAAAACAATCTATATATTCAATGCAATTCCCATCAAAATACCTCCATAATTCTTCATAGAACTAAAAAAAGAATCCTAAAATTCATAAGGAACCAAAAAAAGAGCCCACATAGTCAAAGCAAGACTAAGTAAAAAGAACAAATCTATAGGCATTTCATTACCCAACTTCAAACTATATTATAAGGCCATAGTCACCAAATCAGCATGGTACTGGTATAAAATCAGGTATATAGACCAATGGAACAGAGTAAAAAAATCCAGAAATAAAGCCAAATATTTACAGTCAACTGATCTTTGACAAAGCAAACAAAAACATAAAGTGGGGAAAGGACACCCTATTCAACCAGTGGTGCTGGGATAATTGGCAAGCCACACGTAGAAGAATAAAACTGGATCTTCATCTCTCACCTTACACAAAAATCAACTCAAGGTGGATCAAAAACTTAAATCTAAGACCTGAAACCATAAAAATTCTAGAAGATGACATTGGAAAATCCCTTCTAGACATTGGCTTAGTCAACGACTTCATGACCAAGAACCCAAAAGCAAATGCAACAAAAACAAAGATAAATAGATGAGACTTATAATTAAACTAAAAGACTTCTCTGCACAGCAAAATAAATAATCAGAAGAGTAAACAGACATCTCACAAAGTGGGAGAAAATCTTCACAATTGATACATCCAGCAAAGGAGTAATATCAAGAATCTATAATGAACTCAAACAAATCAGCAAGAAAAAAATAAACGATCCCATAAAAAAGTGGGCAAAGGACATGAATAGACAATTCTCAAAAGAAGATATGCAAATGGCCAGCAAACATATGAAAAAATGCTCAACGTCAGCAATTATCAGGGAAATGCAAATCAAAACCACAATGTGATACCACTTTACTCTCGAAAGAATGGCCATAATCAGAAAATCAAAAAATAACAGATGTTGGTGTGGATGTGGTGAAAAGGGAACACTTTTACACTGTTTGTGGGAACGTAAACTAGTACAACCACTAGAAAGCAGTGTGGAGGTTCTTTAAAAAACTAAAAGGGCCAGGTGCAGTGACTCAACGCCTGTAATCCCAGCACTTTGGGAGGCTGAGGCAGGCAGATTACCTGAGGTCAGGAGTTCGAGACCATCCTGGCCAACATGGCAAAACCTCGTCTCCACTAAAAATACAAACATTGGCCAGGCATGGTGGCTTGCGCCTGTAGTCCCAGCTACTCGGGAGGCTGAGGCAGGAGAATTGCTTGAACCCAGGAGGCAGAGGTTGCAGTGAGCCGAGGTCAAGCCACTGCACTCCAGCCTGGGCAACAGAGCAAGAATCCATCGCAAAAAAAAAAAAGAGCTAAAAGTAGATCTACCATTTGATCCAGCAATCCCACTACTGGGTATCCACCCAGAGGAAAATAAATCGTTATATGAAAAAGATACTTGCACATGCATGTTTATAGCAGCACAATTTGCAATTGCAAAAATATGGGACCAGCCCAAATGCCCATCAATCAATGAGTGAATAAAGAAAATGTGGTGTATATATATCATAGAATACTGTTCAGCCATAAAAAGGAACAAAATAATGGCATTTGCAGCAACCTATATGGAATCAGAGGCCATTATTCTAAGTGAATTAACTCAGGAATGAGAAACCAAACATCATATGTTCTCACTCATAAGTGGGAGCTAAGCTAAGATGTAAAGGCATAAGAATGATACAATGGACTTTGGAGACTTGGGGAAAAGGGTCGGGAGGGTAAGGGATAAAAGATTACACATTGGGTACAGTGTACACTGCTCAGGTGATTGGTGCACCAAAATCTGAGAAATCACCACTAAAGATTTAGAAAAAGTTTTTAAAAATTTAAATAACAATAATAATAAGTGAAAAAAATCAAGTTCCTTGTTAATTTTACATTTTAGGTAATAGAGATCGATGTATCATATAGTACCATCAGTTTTTACAGGATCAGAATGTAATATGATAAATATTTAATTCTAAAATGATACTCAAAGTATTGTATATTTATCATACTTCATGTATTTTGAAGGTGCTCAGTATCCTATTGTATCTAAAAAGTTTGCTGTGTTTATACTATCCTTAAAGGATTTAGATATGTGAATTTGGTAGAGAGGGCAGATATATCACCTTCTATTGTAATATTTGTTTTCCAAGTTAAATTTGAAGTATAATAGATCACGTTTTTGCAGTGGAGGGGACTAAAAACAATACAGGCTTACTATGGTGCAGTTCTGGAGGCCAGAAGTCAAAAATAGGTCAGCAGGGATGTGTTCCTTCTGGAGGTCTTAGAGGAGATTCCATTTCTTTACCCTTTCCCACTTCTGGAGGCTGCTCATGTTTCTTGGCTATTGTCCCCACCTCACTCTGACCTCAGCTTTGGTCATCACATTGATCAGATTGCTTTTCAGTTTAACTTCTCTTTGTTCTCACTATTCGTAATTCTTCTGAAATGATAGTTACAGAAAATGGTTATAATTATTTCTGTGTAGGCTGTACATTTTTATAAAATTGGCTATCTTGATTGTTTAAAAAAAAGAGTCCTAATGATTAAAAATTCAACTAAAAATAATAAATAAAAGAGTACCTAGAAAAAAAAAGAAAAATAAATAGGATACATTTCTGGCTATAACATACTTTCTTCATGTAATCAACATTTTAACTCAGAAATTTCTCTGGACTCCTTCTTGACTTTCCATCTTGCCCAATAGTATCCTAACCCAAGCTGATATCTTTTGATGGAATATTACAGTGACTAATACAAGAAGTACTTTTTCAAAACTTAAATTTGCTCATGTTATTTCCCCTTCTTACAATTCTTTAATGGATTTGCTGCACAGACTCTCTTTCTCTCTGTCTCTCTCTGCAACAAAACTCACAAGACTCTGCAAGATCTGGCCCCTAACTACTTCTTCAAACTTTGTGCTGCAGACACAAACTTTTTTTCAGCAATTAATAAATCAGTGAATTTAATCAATAAATATTTTTGAGTGACTATTATATACCTTTCTGTGGTACTGGATATATGTAAGTAAACAAAACAAAGATCACTGCTATCAACCAAGCTTACATTCTAACTAAGCAGTTAATGAATACACGATAAACACTAACTATATAAACTCTAAACTATGTGAAAAGGTAACAAGTCCTATGGAAAAACAAATAGACAAATAGAGCAGGATAAGCATGGAGTGGGGTAGGTTGGAGGATTATGGAAAATGGGACAGTCAGGATAGACTCCATTGCTAATGTGGACCTGATGCTTGTGAAGCAGCTGGCTCAGGAGATATCTGGTGGAGGGGACTAAAGCATTAAGATGGGAGCAAAGCTGGCATACTCTGAGAATGTCAGGGAGGGCACAGCATTTGATGCTGAAAGGGTGAAGGGGAGAGCAGAGAAAGGTCACAGAAGGAACCAGGGCTACAGATCAGGTAGCTCCTCATACACCTCCCACCATGGAGCCTTTGTACGAAACATTCTCACCCTTCCTCATTTGGTAAATTCCTGCCCATCATTCCCGTCTCAGTTCAAGTTTACTTTTGTTGGAAAATCTTTCTGATGAACTCAACTAAGTCATCTTATTGCAGGTTCTCATAGAACTATGAATTTCTTTTTTTTTTTTTGAGACAGGGTATCTTTCTGTCGGCCAGGCTGAAGTGCAGTGGTGCAATCATAGCTTACTGCAACCTCTGCCTCCAGGGTTCAAGTGGTTCTCCTGCCTCAGCCTCCTGAGTAGCTGGGATTACAGGCACCTGCCACCACACTTGGCTAATGTTTTGTATTTTCAGTAGAGATGGGGTTTCACTATATTGGCCAGGCTGCTCTCGAACTCCTGATCTCAGGTGATCCACCTGCCTCAGCCTCCCAAAGTGCTGGGATTACAGGCATGAGCCACCATGCCCGGCCTCTCTTGTATTCCTTATCACAGTTACGTTTTACATTTTTGGCATGACTATTTTGTACTACTTTGACTCCCTGTTAGGCTGTAAGCTCCATGAAGATTGGGACCATTTCTGTTAGTACTTGCCACAGACTTCACAGCACATTTCACAGTGTTGAAAACCTAGTAGATATGTAATAAATTATGTTGAACCAATCAGTAAATGGAACACATATTAAGCACTTCTGTGAAGTGACACAGCAGAGTGAATATGAACAAATCACTTCCATGTGCCAAGACTGTATTTCTTCCATGTTCAATGGACAGATGGACTGAGCTGTTTCCAAGATCAATTAAGGACATATGATTTAGTGAAAAAGATTCAACATATTGCCTTCTAATTGTTTGTTGCCCTAGTTCATTTACAAAGAGATGTTACTTATAAATACACCTTGTTATGGGCTGAGTTTTGTCCCTTCCTCCCCCAGGAAGTGATATACTGAAGTCCTAAACTCTAGTACTTCAGAATGTAACTGTATTTGGGGAAAGGACCTTAGAGAGCTAATTAAGGTAAAATGAGGTTTTATAGGTGGGCCATTTTCCAATATGAATTATGTCCTTATAAGAAGAGGAGATTTGGACACAGATCATACAGAATGAGGACAACCATGTGAAGACATAAGAAGAAGACATCATCTCCAAGCCAACAAGAGGCTTCAGAAAAAACCCAAACCTACTGACACCTTGATCTTGGCCTTATAGCCTCCAGAGCTGTGAGAAAACAAATGTCTGTTGTTAAAGCTACCCAGTCAGTGGTGTTATGTTATAGCAGCTCTGGCAAACTAATAGACACACAAAAAATTTTTTCAGACATCTGGTTTCTGGTTCTGCATGTAAGGGGCTTAGAAGTTACCACTCCATCCTAACCATAGATAAAAAGCTTCCCCCGCCACTAAACCTCACTACCACATTATTAAAGGCTATTTAGGGCAGTTCTTTTTACCTAGTACATCATGTCTGGAAATTACAAGGCATACCAAAGACAAAAAATACAGGTTGAAGTGACAGAGCCAGCACTAGAACCAGACATGTCAGGGATGTTGAAATGATCAGACCAGGAATTAAAAATAATGGTGATTAATATGCTAAGAGCTCTAATGAATAAAGTGGATAGCATTCAAGAACAGATGAGAAATGTAAGCAAAAATAAATAAATCCTGAGAAAGAACCGAAAAAAGAAATGCTGGAGATTAAAAGTGCTGTAACAGAAATGCTTTTGGTGAGCTTATCAGTAGAATGAACATAGTCGAGAAAAGAACCTCTGACCTTAAGCATAACTCAATAGAAATTTGCAAAGCCGAAAGGCAACAAAGGTAACAAAGATGAAAAAGAAGAAGACAAATAAAAAGGAACAGAAGAAATATTTGTAACAGTAATGACCAAGAATTTCCTTCAAATTAATGTCAGACGCCAACCCACAGATCCAGAAAGCTCAAAGGACACCAGGTGGGATAATGAAGAAGAAGAAGAAAAAAGAAAAACAAAACGAAAAATCTAGGCATAACATTTGCAAAAACCTAGGCATATCATTTGCAAATTACATAAAATCAAAAATAAAGAAAAAGTCCTGAAAGAATCAGAGGGAAGAAACATCTTACCTATAGACTCATCTCTAGGTGAATGAAGATAAGAATTAATCCAACTTCTCTTCGGAAACCATGCAAGCAATAACAGGAGGAATAAAATATTTAAAACATTGAGGACAGAACCAACCTAGAATTCCATACTCTGCAAAATTATCCTTTAGAAGTGAAGGAGAAATAGTTTCTCAGACAAATAAAAATTGAGGGAATGTCTTTCTAGCAGATCTGCTTTACAAGATATGTTAAAAGAAATGTCTCTTAGAGAGAAAAACAATAATATAGATAAAAACTCAGATCTATATAAAGAAAGGAATAGCACCAAAGATAGAATAAGTGAAGGTAAAATAAAAACTTATTTTTCTTATTCTTAATTGATCTAACAGACGACAGTGTGTTCAAAATAATAATGGCAGCAATGTATTTTAGTACATCTGCATATGTATGCTTATATGTAAGTGCAATGAATGCCAGTAATGATACAAGGGACAAGAGGGAGAATTAGGATTGTCTTGTTATTATATGGTTCTCACATTACCCATTAAGTGGTAAAATATTATTTGAAAGTGGGCTTAAATTAGTTGTAAATGTATGTTGCAAGTTCTCGGGAAGAAACGGGGGAAAAAAAGAAGTATAACTGATATGCTAAGAACAGAAAGAAAATAAAATCATATAAAATACCCCAAACCACAAAAGGCAGAAAGGAGCAGAAGACAAAAATAGGAACAAAGAACAAGGGGAACAAATTAAAAACAATAACAAATATGGTAGATATTTATTTTAAATATAAATGGCCTAAATATACCAATTAAAAGACAGAGATTGTCAGAGTGTATCAAAAAATAAAACTCAGCTATATGTTGTCTACAAGAAACTCACTTTGGACAGAGAAAAATTTACTATGTTAACACTAACCCAAAG
Organism: Homo sapiens; assembly: GCF_000001405.40. Classification (NCBI taxonomy): domain Eukaryota; kingdom Metazoa; phylum Chordata; class Mammalia; order Primates; family Hominidae; genus Homo; species Homo sapiens. The sequence continues at coordinate 90,018,717 of NC_000004.12, forward strand.
AAAGCAGTAGTGGCCATATTAAACTTAGACAGCAGAATTCAAAGCAAGAGGAGTTACTGGGATAAAGAAGAGCATTACAAAGTTTGTTTATCCTCCACTTATGATTTATAGAGATCTCTGATCCTCATTTGCCATACCAATGCTCCCATCATCTTCCTTTTATAGATATCAGCTAAAATAGAACTTTTAGAAATCCTAGTGCTCTGCCAATCAGAAATATGAGACCAGAGAAGTTGAGTGATTTTCGTAAGATTTTTCAGCCAGCCAGATTTCTGTATGCATTACCACTGGCATGGTGAACTGTCCAGTCTCATAAACCTAGTGGACATTTTTTGGATAAGCAGGTCCACAGGTCCTTAATGCTTTGTAAATACATTCTTTAGAGGCAATTTATGAGAAGTGAAAATGAGTTTAAATATACCAGAAATGGTGTACTTAAAAAATAAATGAATAAAAATAAATAAATACACCAGTAATTATTTTATATTCTTAATACTCTCAATATGAGGTAGCTCAATAGTGCAATTCCATTACATTTATGAATCCAGCAACAGTCTTTCACACTGAGTTTTGTAGCAGTATCTTTTGTTTGAAATAATTTAAATCTGATATTTTAAACTTCTAATAAAGTTTGAAATATTTTTTAACCAGTATTCAGATTTGTTCAAAATAAATTGCAGATTATTCTTAAAATTATTTTTCTTATTGTTGTGTATTTTGATCTGAAAGTAATATATAAATTATTTTAACCTCAAAAATGAAATGTGTTTTTTATGTATACTTCATACACAGATTATTATGAATAAACTCAAGATTTCATTGACATTAAATGTGAGTGGAAATCATCATTTGTTTTGGAAACAAACATTTAAAAATCATTCCTTCTATTTTAATATATAACTACTAACTAAGCATCTAAATATAGCCTATACTGTTCCATATATGATTAGAATTATAGATTTCATCAGTCACACATTATTAGCATATTAATAATAGTTTCTATTTTAAAGGAAATCACTTTTTCTCAGCTCTCTAAGAGGATTCATAATTTATTTGTGCTGACCTGACAAATGCAGTAAAGTAGTATTAATCTATATCTGATTGTATGCTTCACAAGTGCATTATTTCTCATTACTAGACTTTAGTTCCTTCCAGATGTGTGTAAACTGATGTCCAGATCGCTTTTCAGAGTTACTTATAATGAATATTAATTTTTGTCACTCAGCTTTTCCTGAAGATGAAGGTCCTGTTGTTTAAAATAAAATATATTTTATTCTCGTCTTTTTTCTAAGAGTATCAATCACAATCAAAGGATTTCTACCCTGTCTCATTTTTATGTTTAATGGTGATGTTATTAAAAATGCACACTTATATGAAAGATTACTTTAATTAGCCAATAGAAATTCACTACAGCTATTCTTGTTACACACTAATATCTCTTGAGGAGCAACAGTTTATATTCACTTAACTCAAAAATACGAAGAGATCCTTAGTTGCATGTTGATTTTGAGGGAAGAATACTTTATCTGGTTTATCCTTGAAATAAATCCATTCTTTGCTATTTAGAGAAATCTTTGTAGCCGAATCCCTTTGATACAAAGAGGATATGATAAAATTCTAGAAAAGAATGATGTGTGTGTACTGTGAAGGTGGGTATTTTAAACCATCTAAGAGACAAGGGGAAAAAAATGAATTGATTCAAGTTCAGTAGCCAGAAGCTGAAGGTGCAGACATTTAGGTTTTTGTAGACCTTCCTAATCCCTCTTCTTCTGGCAAAAGCAGCCAAAATTCATTTTAGGAAATTGTCACGACCCAATTTTGTGTGGTCTTGATAAGACTGTAAATCAAGCCAAGGCACGGCACTTAACCTAAATAGGTGAATGAGACTTTCTCTCCATTTCACACCTATCTTCATCCCTTAGTTATTGATAGGAAAGCCTCAAGAATGTACTGGGAAAAGTCATTGGTAATCTAGATGCTGTGGCAGAAGTACATTGCAGGATTGGTTAATTATAATTTTATAACTTAGTACATACCTGGTTAAAGTATTATGGAAGAAAGTTTACTATAATATGAACTCCATTTTGTTTCTTCTCAAGAGAGGGAACATTTTCTTGAATTGCCATGAAATAGACCCTCAAATTACAGTTTGAAGGCTTAGGAGCATCATGGGCACTGTGCCACCAGGGTTAATCAGTTACATCATCCTGAGATTGTCCTCTCACCTACAATGCTAAATGTATGGATTAGAGAAATGCTCAGCTACTGGAGGGCACAGGGTGGATGTGTGGACCAAGATAGAGCTAGACTAGATGGAAAGTGTGATCAAGTGTCTGTTTGAAAAACCGTCCATGGAATATGGTGGAACAATGCAGGAGCATATAGGATGTTTTAGAAACAATTGATGCTGTCGATCAAAATCTGCAGGACTTCGGTCCTAAAGTTTTCCAATACCTTGGACATTTATCCACTAAGAAAATGTATATTATAACCATAGATCTGTCTGAACACAACTGGTCATGATATTTTTCTTTACATATGGCTACTCTATAAAATTAACTTAATTTTACCAAAAAAAAAAAAAAAAATAGGCCAGGTGCAGTGGCACATGCCTGTAATCCTAGCACTTTGGGAGGCCCTAGGCAGGCAGATTGCCTGAGTTCAGGAGTTTGAGACTAGCCTGGGCAACATGGTGAAACCCCATCTCTGCCAAAATACAAAAAATTAACCAGGCATTGTGGCAGGTGCCTGTAGTCTCAGCTACTCGGGAGGCTGAGGCAGGAGAACTGCTTGAACCAGGGAGGCAGTGGTTGCAGTTAGCCACTCACTGCACTCCAGCCTGGGCAACAGAGCCAGCCTCTGTCTCAAAAAAATAAACAAAACTTATTTAATTTTAAAAAACTAAAAATCACCTCTGACTATAGAATCTTACCTTGCTTGAAAATGCAAAGCATCAGCGAGTATTATAACTAACTACTCTGCACCACTAGATTTCATAGGAAAACAAAATAACCTAGAAAATGGAAAAAAATGAAAAAACAAAAAAACCCCAGAATTCTTTATCTTAATAATGGCATGGGACTGCCACTCACCCCAGAGCACTTCCTGGATATTCAAAGTGAGGTTAAAGAGCATAGTCACATTGCCTTCACACAGCAAACTGGAAGTAGCCCTATAAGGGAGGCCACTAGCAAGATTTCCAGTGGCAGTAAGACTTGTCTGTTTTCTCTTCCTGAAAATAAAGCATAGTACCACGAGGGCATCTCACTCCATCCAAAACTCTCCTTATCCTTCAGAGGAAGTCTAACTATATTCTAGAGACTTCAGCCCTATATATAAGTGGAAGAATTACAACTGAGTTTTTGGCTTTTGGTCCCTCATAGTAGTCATTACTTCCCTTTACATCAATGTTACTTAAAGTTTACAACAATTTAAGGCTCATTGCAAATGACATGGATAGCCTGCAATTCTGATGATCTGATGGTGCCTTGGTTAGGTACCCTCTGTCTATTAACAGGTTTTTCACATTATTTCAAATTTGGCTTTCACCCTTTCTAACATATTCTCAAAGAACATGTATACCAATTGTTATATCTGTAATTTTCTTTTTTATGCATTTGCCACCTAATAACTAAACAGTCACCCCTTGAATTTCTATGTCCTTAATTTGGTGTACAAGTTGACCTTATTTTTGTTATATTCATAAGAGCTTAAACTTCATCTTTATGGTCCTTTTTCTGATCAACTGTGTCATGTCTCTTGCTGTATTTCCTTACCTCAGACACTTTTACATCTTGCTGCACTACCCTTCCATCTGGCAAATGGCCTTTTATGACTTTTTACTTACAAAATTGGCATGCTTCTGTGTTCTGAATATTTTCTGTATTATACGTATACTTCCTACATATATTAAAATCATTGTGTATCTCTTCAATATCACTTTTTGGCAGATTAGTGTTTCAATTTTTTTCTAAGAAAACATAAACATAATATCTGAATGGATTGGATGTCTGTTAAAGCTGCTAGGCTACTAATAAATAAATCTACTAATGAACATCAGTGTTACTGTCTTCTTTGCTCTGCATGACTTTTAATGTGGCCATTTAGGAAATTCAATATATCTCTGTAAAATATACTCCACTATTTTCTCTTAGAAGATTCATCTAACATTCAAAAATTAGCTATAGCTGTAACTAACAAAAATAAATGTCCAATGCCATTAAGAAAATATGCAAGTGAAGTGAAAATGAAAAAAATAACTTTAAAATTAAAATATAAGAAACTGATGGTCAAATAAATGCTAAGTCATTGTGGGTTTTCTTTTATTTATAAGAGGGTAGACAGACTGGAATTAACTTCCCTTGTCTTCAATCCTATCATTCTAGCCACAGTAATGGAGAAAAGCTTGTTAATTTATTAAGGATAATATAAATAACTCACACATGGGTTCTACAGCTTTGATATTTGCTAACTTTTAACTTTAACCAGATCACTTAACTCTTTGCATTTCCAATTATTCCTATTTAAAATGAGAGACTGGGCGTATTTGATATTCTAGTGACTAAACTGTGATGAAAAAAGAGCATAGTCACATTGAAAAAAGATTTCTTCTTTTCTATTTTGTCTCCCTTACCCCACATTCTCTAAAAACATCTGTATTAGTCATGGTTCTCTAGAGGAACAGGACTATTGGGACAGAGGTATTTATGAAAGGGAGTTTAAAGATAATTGACTCAAATGATCGTAAAGTGAAATCCCACAACAGGCTGTCTGCAAGCTGAGTAGCAAGGAAGTCACTCCAAGTCCCAAAACCTCAAAAGTAGGGAAGCCGATTGTGCAGCCTTCAGTCTGTGGCTGAAGGCCTGAGAGCCCCTGGCAAACCATTGATGTAAGTCCAAGATTCCAAAAGCTGAAGAACTTGGAGTCCACTGTTCTAGGGCAGGAAGCATCCAGCATGGGAGAAAGATAAAGGCCGGAAGACTCAGCCAGTCTAGTCCTTCCAAAGTCTTCTGCCTCCTTTTATTCTAGCCATGCTGGCAGCTGATTAGATGGTGCCCACCCAGATTGAGTGTGGGTCTGTTTCTCCCAGTCCACTGACTCAAATGTTAATCTCCTTTAGCAACACCCTCACAGACACACCCAGGAACAATACTTTGCATCCATCAATCCAATCGAGTTGACATTCAACCTTAACCATCACAACATCCTTACTTTCTTTCTAGCCCAATAATTAGTTTTGTGAATATTTGTCAAATTTGTAAAATTATATAGTTTTAACTACATTTATAGTATATAGTTTTAAGAATCATCTATGTATCATTGTGTGTGCCGCTCATATGTAGAAGAAGCCCACTTTTAGTGTGTGTGCCAGCCAATACTGTGCAGTTCATTAAAAGTCAATAGGAGACAGTCATGTGAATGACCAATTTACTTTACATATTTAGAAAGTGACAGATTGATTAAGTAACTGATCGAGTTATAACTAATTGGTAGTAGCATAAGGAATAAATTATCTGACCCTTATTTACACCTATTATATTTTTTGCTATACATTTTACTGCCTTTTCTGAATTCTCTTCAGTATTTTATTGTATTTTTTAATAAAAATTTTATACTTTCCCCTCATATTAGTGATTCACGGTCAACTTGTTGTGAGCTATGCTCCTAAGCCATTTTTCTGTTGGACTTATGGGATATTTTTGTTTTTCTTCTCTAACATACAGCACCATACTTGTCTTAATTGAACTTTATTCTGTCTCTGTTTTTTTTTTTTTTTTTTGCTTAACTGTAGTTTCCTCTAATCTTTTTGGGCCTCAGTTTCCTCCTTTATACAATAAGAAAGTTTGGGTAGATTAACTCCTGAGGTACTTTTTACCTCCAAAACATCATTCTCCATGTTGGGACTGAATCAATCTTTGGCTCCTTAAAGCCAGTTTCAGATTTAAAGAGTATGTTCTATGTTTTATCATCCTGACACTTGATAAGAAGATAGACAAACACCAGGCCTCAGATGAACTCTTCAGGGCATCATTTGTTACATTCTCCTGAGTTGACACTAATGCATTGATTATATCCTTATTTCTTATTTATTGTCTGCAAATGTTTTCAGTTTGGAAAACATTTGTTGATTTTTTACAAAATTTCTGGGGTAGATTAATTTTATGAAGCCTTTGTTTTTAAAAATCTTCGTGCTTCTTCAATTTGATAAGGTTATACAAATTCATTTCAAGTATTATTTTTCAAGATTTTAAGAGGATGAAAATGTTAAAGCAGTGCAGTTTAGTTCAAAATACCAGTATTCTATTAATTCTATGAATAGAAAATTTATCCAGTATTTAAGATTGAGAGGCAAATGCACTATAATTATTGTTAGAGGCCTAGAAAGCTTGAATTACTCTCACAAAGTAATCTAGCTTTATTTTGTCTCTGAAAACCTTAATGGAATTTACCAAACTAGATGTTACAGTTTCATTATTTTCAACAAATTAATATAACAATTTTAAGACTAAAAAACAACATTCTAATTTTTCAAGAACTTCATTTAGCTTTGCTATAAACCACAATACCAAACTTGTCTTCAGTCCTTTTAAGACATTTACTTAATTAATTCAAATCTGTTTTGCTCCTTCTGTAAAACATCTTTGAATATAATGCACTGTTCTGCTTCCAGGATTTTGTTTTTATTGTCTCTAGAAAATGGTCATGATTTTTACTTTGCCAGCAGAGGGCACATATGCATATCCTTTGTTTCTTCTAATCTACCAAAAGGAAATTTAAAAAGAAAAAGAAAAAGAAAAGAAAAAAGCCATATTTGGTTCTGTAAGATCTTACCTTATTTGAACTGAGTCTAACCGAAAAAATAAAAAAACCACCAACACCACATCCCATATTAACATTTTCTCTTAAATATCTCATGTCTAAATGAAAATCAAAATAGACTCGAATACTACCATCACTAAACCACAACATCAATTTAAAATATCTATTTTGCTCTGCAAAATTTGGCTGAAAATTTTACCCCTTATTTTGTTCTGATTATATTTTGGTCTGGTATTTCTGCTTTTGATATTCAATTCTGGACCTAGAGTTAGCAAAAAAAAAAAAAAAAGTGGTCACCTAACATTTATTTATTTAACAAAAATTCAAACTATTAATCTATGCTTTAGTCTAAAGTTAATATGAACACATATGCTGAATATCTAATTTGGGCAGAAATTAAAATGTTTCTGAGAGAACATTTTTAAACAAAGTGAGTTGGACTGAAGCAATAAAAATTAGTCTATTGACCATTTTGGTTAGTGGCTTAAGAACACCTGTGAACATTTTAATCTTCTAGCTACTTTCAATGAACTGACGGAACCATGGTGTTTTTCACACTCTCAGCTAAATGAGCATAGAGGAGCATCTGTAATTTCAACATTATGCATATGCATCAAGTAATTATATAATTGCAGATATGTGGTGTCTGCACACATCTAAAGGTTATGCTTTTAAAATGGAAAAGTACTGTTAAAAAGCAGAAGTCACAGGCTCATATGCTAATATCCATCTCCAGCAGCATAAATTTAAAAAATTTTGTATAAGCCACTGTACACCTGATATGCACCAAAACCAAGCAAAAACTCAGAAATGTAAGTTTACATGCTATATCAGCTTTTAAAAAATTATGATGGAGTAAGTCAAGATGATTGATAATTGATACTGGTTATTCCAAATTTGGTGTATATGGAATAAGAGCCACAAGTAATATTTTATTACCGAATTGTTTAAATCAGGACACTTTGGTCTTACTTTTAAAAAATACGTTATTTTAACTTCAAATACAGAAAAATAGTAATAAGAATGTAAGTAATGAGTTCATTCAAGGTTTAGGTTCTGCTATTTTTTAAATACTCAAGCAAAGATAATTAAATGTGATTACAGTATCAGGAGAGACAAGGCTCTAGACAAAAGAAGCAAAAGGACTCTGAGAATATAAGACTATTTCTGTTCATAAGGAGTTATTTTTTCCCCAAGAAAAGTCTTTTCCTAGGGTAACCCCAATTTGATTCCCTCCAATGTTAGTGAATGCAAGACCGCTGGGGTTACTATCATTGACACCAAACATTTTGTCAACTCTAAACATCTTAAGTAATTAAAATTGTTGATAGTCTCAAAACTTACATGTTTATATATAGCTTTAGTTAACCTCTGAGTATAACTAATAAGTATTAATTTTTATAAATAACTAGTGCCCTGCAGCCCATAGTATTTTAATGCTTTTGTGTCTCTTTTTCAAATAAAATGGAAACTACACACAGTCTTAAAATATTGACTCTGTTTAACATCGAGGAGCTGGAATGTTACATAGAAAAAGGAAACAGAGAGAGGGAGATTATGCTCACATGGAATCATCAGGAAAGTTGAGTACCTTATAAAGAAACAGATTGTGCACCCTTGAGTACATCTGTCTTGCATTGTTTCCTACTTAGCTGACACACATCAGTGTCAGAACAATGCTTCCCTGGAGCCATGACTTGTTTTCCTTCTCCTTGTCCTCCTCTCCTTTTCTTCCTTTTTCTTTCTTCTTTCTCCATTTACTCAACTGGGTTATAGTATCATAGTTTACTGAATGCATATCTAAAAATCTTACGTATATTTCATTTTACTTGAAAAACTCATCGGTATCACTGAAAATTAATATAAAATTATAGGACATACATTGAGCAACAAGGCCTAAAGGAGGAGATATAAGATAAGGACTCAGTGCTTCTAATTTTTAAAAATATGTATGTTGGACCTATCCTAACCAATCTCTCATCTTTAGGTCTTAGTTTACTTCCTTTCCCAAAACAAACAAAAAACAAAAGAAAACAACAACAACAAAGCCTGGCTTATATTTCTATGCCCTACTTTAAATTGGTTATATAATTTGATGCATATATTTTAATTTATGCTAGTCTGACTTATAGAGACATTTTCAAATGTGCAGCAATTGACTTCTCCTTTAGTAATAAGGAAGTGAAGATAAACTTGTGGTTCCTTAAGGTATGAATTTACTGGGGGTTTCCAGTAAATGATTCGTCTTGAAATAAAGCAGAACTAGAACATAAACATTGATGACTGCACCAATTAACTAAATGCGTTTACCATTTTAATCATTACATTTTTAAAAATTATTATTGTACCTGTTTTCTTTTTGATCACTCAGGATGTGTGGACCAAGTGGATAAACCAAGTCAATTAACACAGTCACCTGAAAGAGCTGAAAAAAATAATATTTTTGTTACCTGGGTAGCTTTTATATTATTTTTATTATTTTGAGGTATTCGTGTTTATCCAGTTTCTTGATCTTTGAAGATAGTGGATAATACAGACATATTATTTCTGTCCTAATCTGCCTTGGTGCAAACTAAACCTGTTACACTGAAGTAATTATTTGTTAGCTTCTATGTGAATGATTTTGTGTTAATGATTCAATAGTACAATTACAATGTGATAATTTTCTTTTTACAAGAGATGACACAACATTGTTTCTTCCTAAACAATGGTCAAATGAAAAAAATGTGGGTAAAAATGGGTTTTGCAATAGATGTGTGAATAAATACTGATTTTCAGCCTTTAGTGACTTTCTGAGTTCATTGCACACATGCAGAAGAAGAGTGCAGCATTCATAGGCAATAATTTACAAAAGAAACCAGAAGAACTAAAATAGTTTATAATTAAAGAAATGGAGCTGGCTGAGGGCAGAGAAAGGCAGAGTGGAGGACTGCAGGTACAGGTGACCTCTTCCACAGCCATCATTCAGAAGGCTCCAGGTTCATGGATGTCTGCTATTTAAATATGGGAGTGTACCTTAAGGTTGATGGAAGGGGATTGTTGGTAGTGGTGACAGGAGGTGTGATGATAGAATCTAACTAGGTGGTTGCTAGCAGATTGGAAACAAAAGGGAGGTCACATCTATTCAGCAGCTAAAATGTGCTAATACCAAATTAGATGCTTAGTCAATATAACCACCTCTGCATGTGGTAAGTGCTCAAACCTCAGAGAAGCAGTTAATTATCTCTCCTCAATTTACCAGCCTCCGCTCGAAACCCAACTTTAGCCATATATTTTATGCCATATTTGTGGGAAATGTGTCTTACCCTCTTTATGAGAAAGAATCAATCTATTTCTTCCCCAGAGAGTAATATTTAATCACCCCTGTGTTATTAGGCTTATGATTGGGATTATGATTATTATTCTCATTTGCCTTGGAGGCTTTGTGCTTTCAAAGCCTTTACAACAAATCCCATACCCACATACAAAGGTTGACTGATAACCAGTTATCCAGCACCCTTTATTAACTGGGTCTTGATATTTGATATTTCTTATCAGTGTATGGTCTTAAGTTGTTCTTATTCTACACAGAGTAATGAAGGCCACACACAAACATATTTCAATTAGTAATTGTATATACGAGTCAACTTTATAAATTTGAGATCTAAAAATAATACTTTCGTTGAAGAGTGGCTCCTAATTTTTTTAAATTTTAAAAACTAATACAAATGATTAAAAGAGGAAGAATATTATTGGCTGATGTCTAGGAATTTATGTATAGTTTCTTTTAAGAAAATCTAAGGGCATTATAGGCAAAGAAAAAATGTTAATCATCTAAGGTCCCAGTTTACTGAGTCACTATTGAAAGACTAATACAACAAATAAAGTAGAGAAGAAAATGTTCCATACAGTTTGTCAGTACAAAGTTTTTCTTGGATACATCTTGATATATTCTCAGTTTTTTAAAATTTAACAATTCAATTAATATTTCTTTTATCTCCTAACATATACAAGAGAATGTACTAGGTGCATTTGGGAATAATTATATTTCAAAGTATCAAGTGCTTCCTTTTTGCCAAGTGTTATGTTAAGTGTTGTACATATAATAGCTCATTATTTATTAAATAGTCTCACAAGAAAAGTTTTGCTGCTATCTCTATTTTACTGAGGGAAATTGAGACACAGAGAGGTTAACTAATTTACCCAAAGTCACAAAGCTTATAAATGATTTATTCCACCTCTGCATGTGGTAAGCGCTTAAACCTCAGAAAAGCACTTACTTATCTCTCCTCAATTTACCAGCCTCCACCTGAAACCTAATTTTAAGGACAACTTTTGGACAAATGTAGCATTAACTCCAGAGGTTTTACTCTTTTTAGTTTGAAAATAAATATTCTCTGCTTACTGATATATTTCTCCAGATTCAGTGGAAAAGTTATTTTTTTCTGTTACTGCTTTATTTTTTAAAAGATTTAAAATTTTAACAAACAAAAAGCAAATAAAATAAACACAAAGCCTGAAACATATTCAGTGCTGGCGTAGTTTAATTGTTTGCTCTGCTTCCTTTGGTAAGTGATTTAAAAAGTCATTTGTTTGTTCTAAAAACAAGCGAAGCAAACAAAAAATACATATTCCATGCTATTTGGGAAATGTAATATGGAACAAAAGTTCACATTAATGAGAACCTGGACTAGCTTCATTAATTTGTGAGCCTAGTACAAAATGAATACATGAAGTCCCCTGTTTAAAAATGATTAATAATTCTGAGATGGAGACAGCTGAGTATTAAATCAAATGGCACTGCACAGGTTACAGTCCCATGAAGCTGGCCCTGGCGAGAAACCAATACTGGTCACCGAAGACCTTTTGCTTTATCTACCCATCTCCTTCCAATAGCAGAGCGACATGTGAGCCAAAAAAGACTCCCAGGGGACACTAGAGGCTCTAGGGATAGACTTCTAAGGTTTTACCACTCCTTCATTTCCCTTCTGTTTTTGTTTTCAGTTTTTTGCTTCAGAAATTTAAAAATCCCTTGAAAAACACAGGGATTTCAAAAGACAGCATGACTACTATAGACAAGAAATCTTGTCTCTGGTGCTCTCACTGCCCCAGTGGGATTAATAGCTGATTTCTAATACTAGAGCTGGAAGGCTGCACACTTAGGATGGTGAGACTTTTGCACAGCTTCAAGGACTGTGACCTTATAAGCAGAGCAAATGTGTGCCCACTTTTCTATTATGTGGCAGTTTCATGGGTAACGTGCACAAATCCCCTAATCAAAACCAAGAAGACGGTGTTTATGGAATTATGCATTGCAGGGAAGCCTGAATTGGAGGACTGCTAAGATCCCCATTGCAGTCATAAGATTCTGTGCCTCTAAAAGAGTAGAATGTTAGATGAGAACTGAGAATAGCATGCCTGTGACAAAAAGATGTTGATCATCTGGTAATGTCTTTGATTCTAGAGTCTGAGTGGGTGGATAGACTATATCCCAATTTCTTCCAAATTAGGAAGTGTAGATGGAGATAAAAATATCACACATATTGCTGACAGAGCCTCGGATGGCTATTTGGACTCCCTTTTCTCGGTTAAACTGATACCTCCAGTCACACTCAGAGCAGTTGAACAAATGCTGCTTCCCTCAAGAGGGCACCCTTGAGGAAAGAAGCAGGAAAAGATCCTGAGCTTCCTGCAGAGGAGCTGATATGGAAAAGAAAAATTAGAAAGAGTGGAGCAGGCCCTCCTTGTCTCCGGAGAAGTAAGGAAGAAGGTTTGGGAAGGGTAGAAATTACAGTGTAATTATTCCAAAAGGGTAAAGTCCCTACCTTGGTAGTTCACAGAAATGCTGGAAAAACCCACAAGAAGAATCCTTCGTCTTCTACCCTCTACTATTCTAAGATTTGAATAATAAATTGGCTTCGTGGACCTAAACCCCTAACTACGTGGCACCAACAGAAAGCACTGTGCTGCCTTGGATACATATGTTAGATGTGAGAGGTTGCATGAAGCAGGCGTGAGGGTCCAAGTTTTGGAATTAAACAAACCTGGGTCTGAAACCTGGCTCTGCCATTGATCAGTTGTGTGGTATTTAGCATTTTATGTTACATATCCTCGCTAGGACTCTATGTCTTTATCTTTAGCAATAGAATACAATTTAGTTGTGTGGATTAATTGTAACAAGGATAAATTTTCAGTAACCTCCCTACTATAGTTTGAACGTTCGTATCTCCTCAAAATTCACATGCCAAAAACTAATACCCAATGTGATAGTATTCAGAGTTGAGGCCTTTGGGAGGTGATTAGGTCATGAGGGCAGAGCTCTCTTGAATTGGATTAGTGTCCTTATACAGAGACCCAAGAGAGCTGCCTTACCTCTCCACCCTATGAGGTTACAGCTAGAAGGAGCCGTCTATGAGGAATGGACCCTCACCAGATGCCAAATCTGCTGGCACCGGGATCATGGACCTCCCAGCCTCTAGAACTGTAAGAAATAAATGTTTATTGTTTATAAGCCATCCAGTTTATGGTGTTTAATTACGGCAGCATGGATGGACTAAGATGCTTACTCTTCCTCACTCTCAGTCTGGGTTACTAAGGTTGTGAAATTTAGTTCATATTTTGCCTATTGAGGTTACTCTTCAAATGCATCACTAATGTTTCCAAAATAAATGGCATTTTTTTCCAATTTCATAAACTATCCAAAAAATTAAGAAGAGAAAAAATATTACAGCACTTGAGCCATTCATGACTTGCTCACTTTTTTGTGACAAAGACTAGTTTTTAAAACAAAAATAGACTATAAATTTTTCTGAAAAAGATCAAATAGTAAATATTTAAAGCTTTGCCAGACACACGGTCTCTGCTACAACTATTTAAAATCTACTATTTTAGTTCAAAAACTATAATACATAAATTAATGGCCACTGCTGTGTTCCAATAGAAATTTATTTATAAAAACATAGTTGGTCCACGCCTGGTCTATCCACTAAGTGTATTGAAAATAAAATATAGTGTTGGTTGTTCTGAGATATAGGAAAAACCAACCAAAATGTGTGTTCCCACTCTCACCCAGTCACTCAACACAATACTGTGTGACTAGATGTGGGGCAGAGGGATTCCTACACATCATCCACTTTCCTGGCAGACACAAACTGGGTGTCCTCAAATTCAATTTAATTCTAACACCACCTACTTGGAAATAGCATCAGATCCAAGGTTCAGTCCCACAAGACCATCCTCCACCTCAGATGCCAATCACAAGCTCCAGGTGTTGGCCTATAGCTGGTCGTGGCCAACCAGCTATAAACTCGAGCTCCCACACTCTCCTCCTTGAGTTAGAGTAATTTACTAGAGCAGTATAGAACTCAGGGAAATACTTTGCTTATGTTTACCAGTTTATTGTAAAGGATAGTACAAAGATATAGATGGACAGCCGGAAGGGGGAGATGCACTGGGCATCAGGGAAAGGGCACAGAGCTTTCATGCCCCATCCAGGAACACAACCCTCCAGGACTCTATCTAGAAGCTCCTGAAACCCAATTTTTTGAGTTTTTATGGAAGCTTCGTTACATAGGCAGGATTAATCAAATCATTGGCCGTTGGTGATCAACTTAATCTTCAATCCATCTCTCCTCCCCAGAGATTGGGAGATAGGGCTGAAAATCTCAACCCTCTAATCATACCTTGGTCTTTCTGGTGACCAATCCCCATCCTGAAGCTATCTAGGAGTCCCCAGCCACCAGTCTTCTCATTAACATACAAAAGACATTCATTATTCCGATCGTCCAAGGTTTTAGGAGCTGGATGTCAGAAAACAGCATGAAGACCAAATATATATCTCACAGTATCACAAAACCCAAAAGGGCTCAATCCTGAAGACTTGGGATTTTATCTTCAGTTCAGTATTATTTATATTTTCTAATTTGCTTTGTATCAGGTTTATTGCATCAATCAATAAATATATTATATGTCAATGTGAAAATCTAAAGTATTATCTCCTTTGTGACTGTTAGGATATATTTCTTTTACTGAACAATTAATCAGATATATAATTCTAATTGATTCTAGAGCATGTTGGTTAAAATAATTTTCTGTACTTTTCATTCAAAATCTTCATGACTATGATTTCTGAGCTTTCTTTTCTAAGAATTTAACAAACATAGTGTTTTCTAATTCTGAATATCAATGGTAGCTTGATGGGGATAGCACTGAATCTATAAATTACTTCGGGCAGTATGGCCCTTTTCACAATATTTATTCTTTCCTATCCATGAGCATGGAATGTTCTTCCATTTGTTTGTGTCCTGTTTTATTTCCTTAAGCAGTGATTTGTAGTTCTCCTTGACGCGGTCCTTCACATCCCTTGTAAGTTGGATTCCTAGGTATTTTATTCTCTTTGTAGCAATTGTGAATGGGAGGTCACTCATGATTTGGCTCTCTGTCTATTACTGGTGGATAAAAATGCTTGTGACTTTTGCACGTTGATTTTGTATCCTGAGACTTTGCTGCAGTTGCTTATCAGCTTAAGGAGATTTTGGGCTGAGATGATGGGGTTTTCTAAATATACAATCATGTCATCTGCAAACAGAGACAATTTTACTTCCTCTCTTCCTATTTGAATACCCTTTATTTCTTTCTCTTGCCTGATTGCCCTGGCCAGAACTTCCAATACTATGTTGAATAGGAGTGGTGAGAAAGGGAATCCTTGTCTTGTGCTGGTTTTCAAAGGGAATGCTTCCAGTTTTTTACCCATTCAGTATGATATTGCCTGTGGGTTTGTCATAAATAGCTCTTGTTATTTTGAGATACTTTCCATCAATACCTAGTTTATTGAGTTTTTAGCCCAAAGAAATGTTGAAAAAACTACCTTAAATTTCATATGGGACCAAAAAAGACCCCGTATAGCCAAGACAATCCTAATCATAAAGAACAAAGCTGGAGGCATCATGCTACCTGACTTCAAACTATACTACAAGGCTACAGTAATTAAAACAGCATGGTACTAGTGCTAAAACAGATATATAGGCCAATGGAACAGAACAGAGCCCTCAGAAATAACGCCACACATCTACAACAATCTGATCTTTGACAACCCTCACAAAAACAAGCAATGGGGAAATGATTTCCTATTTAATAAATAGTGTTGGGAAAACTGGCTAGCCATATGCAGAAAACTGAAAGTGGACCCCTTCCTTACACGTTATACAAAAACTAACTCAAGATGGATTAAAGACTTAAACATAAGACCTAAAAACATAAAAACTCTAGAAGATAACCTAGGCAATAACATTCACGACATAAGCATGGGCAAAGACTTCATGGCTAAAACACCAAAAGCAATGGCAACAAAAGCCAAAATTGACAAATGGGAACTAATTAAACTAAAGAACTTCTGCACAGCAAAAGAAACTATCATCAGAGTGAACAGGCAACCTATAGAATAGGAGAAAATTTTGCAATCTATCCATCTGACAAAGGGCTAATATCCAGAATCTACAAGGAACTTAAACAAATTTACAAAAAAAAAAAAAACCCTCAAAAAGTGGGCAAAGTATATGAACAGACACTTCTCAGAAGAAAACATTTATATGGCCAACAAACATATGAAAAAAAGCTCATCATCACTGGTAATTAGAGAAATGCAAATCAAAATCACAATAAGATACCATCTCATGCCAGTTAGAATAGCAATCATTAAAAACTTGGAAACAACAGATGCTGGAGAGGATGTGGAAAAATAGGAACACTTTTACACTGTTGGTAGGAGTGTAGATTAGTTCAACCAATGTGGAAGACAGTGTGGCGATTCCTCAAGGATCTAGAACCAGAAATACCATTTGACCCAGCAATCCCATTATGGTATATACTCAAAGGATTATAAATCATTCTATTATAATGACACACGCATACATATGTTTACTGCAGCTCCGTTCACAATAGCAGAGACTTGGAACCAACCCAAATGCCCATCAATGATAGACTGGATAAAGAAAATGTGGCATATATACACCATGGAATACTATGCAGCCATAAAAAAGGATGAGTTCATGTCCTTTGCAAGGACATGGATGAAGGTGGAAACCATCATTCTCAATAAACTAACACAGGACCAGAAAACTAAACACCACATGTTCTCACGCATAAGTGGGAGATGAACCATGAGAACACATGGGCACAGGGAGGGGAACATCACACAGCAGGGCCTGTTGGGGATAGGGGGCTAGGGGAGGGATAGTATTAGGAGAAATACGTAATGTAGATGACGGGTTGATGGGTGCAACAAACCACCATGGCACGTGTATACTTCTGTAACAAACCTGCACATTCTGCACATGTATCTCAGAACTTAAAGTATAATAATAATAAAAAAAGAATTTAACAAACATTTATACTTCATGCTCAGATTCTGGGCTAAACAATAAGGAACAGTCTGTATGGCTATTAAAACAAAAAGAAAATCCAGAAGGACAAAATTAATAAGTATGTTTCAAAACATGTCTCTGAGTTACATACCACAATAAACAACAATTTATATGATAGGATTTACATTTAACTTTAAAAAGTAGAACTTTATGATTTACATAAAATAAAATTTATAAAACCAAAGTAAGTTGTACACAGCAAGGGTGTGGGTGTGTTATTCTGTTTCCCATTTCCTCACCCCCCATTTGGTGAAACAGGAGAAAAGTGCATACAGGAGACGTAGAGGAGGTAAGGACCTTTGGACCTTTTCTCTTGTTTTATCAACAGGAAAGCATGACCACTTCCTTCTCTCATTCATATACAGTGATGTTCATGAATACATATGGTCAATAAAGCAGTAGCATTTTGTTTTCTATCTTCCTTTATTATTAAACCCTTGGTTCTTCATTGAATGACACTCTTTTGTGTTAATAAGTTTGGGTCAAGTAGGTTGATGTATTTTCAGCACCTTTAAAAATAACATGGTTATTTTAAAGGAAGGAATGCACACAGCTGATAGGTAGTACAGGCAGGAAACCCACAGACAAGATAATATGTGTCATCAGCATCATGAAAAACCTCTTTGAATGGCAGGGATGGGCCTATAAAATATGAGCAAAGCAGAGTCTTTATTCTCTCCGCGCAGCAGTAAATAACAGAGGCTGTACTTTAGAAAAATCCTTGACGAGTGATCTGGAATTCTTAATAAAAATCCAAGTATGTCAGATAGCTCTTAAAGGTTCATGTGAAATAACAAGAAAGCTATAATTCCATGACCTGGGGAAATCCTTTATAAATTAAGTAGAACATTGTGCTTTGTGTTCTTCCTTTACTCAATCATATTCAGCTTCTGAAGGGCTGGGGGGAAGGGTAGAATGGCAAAAGAAGGATAAAAATGTGTTGTTCTACTTATCCACACCTCATTGATCCATCAGGATACTCATGATAATGCATTTATATCCTTGTCCTTGGCTTCATATGCAGCTACAGAAGCTCTAAGTCTTGCTGGTAATCTTAATTAAGGACCCTTCAAAACTATTCCCTACTTTATAATGCGTCCACCTGAAGCCTTTGCTGATGAACATGCAGACAAAATAATTACCTAGTAACATATTTCTGCATATGAAAGGAAAACACAGTTTGTGAAGGGAAAAGCTGAAACCTCCTTATTTTTTTTTTTTTTTGACATGATACATTAGGACAGGAGGTAGTTTTATACAAGAGATATTAAGGCAGAAATTTCAACATGAAATTATTTTGAAAATTCCAGCATGGAATCATTTCAGGATGACTTGAAATATGGAAGTAAGCAAAGAGAAAGAAGCCAAAAACAGTGTTTGCTTTTGGAAAAGGCAAAAAGAAATAAAAAGTTTTGCAGAAATATGTAATTTTAAATTCAAGTTTTCAACACATTCAGGCTTATAATTTTGGGTAATATGAAATTAATATATTGCTACTATAATAATTGGTTGATTGATACATACATACGTACACACATATGTACATACTGACAAATAGCATGATCAGTCATAATCAAATGTCCTGCAATGAAAATGAGAGAAAAATTTAGCGAATGGAGTCTGAACAAGGTAACATTTTTAGTTGATTTCTCATTTTTTATTTATG
Source organism: Homo sapiens (assembly GCF_000001405.40). NCBI lineage: Eukaryota > Metazoa > Chordata > Mammalia > Primates > Hominidae > Homo > Homo sapiens. The sequence goes on from NC_000004.12 coordinate 90,037,602, forward strand.
ACCTACAAATATATTTATACTAGGTTTCCAAGAAGAAAAAAATTATTAATTTGTAATAGTTGTAAAGTGAAAATATTAATAACATAAACACCTTGCTAGAATTTAAAAGCCTCCACTTCTCTCTTTGATTTGAAACAATGGACAAATTACTAAGACTTTTTACCATAGAGGTGCCTCATTACTAAAGATGATTATACTGACTTTCTTGCAGAGACTTTGAAAATTAATGAGATAGTAATCCCAATTCTAATGTTAAAATAGAAGTCAGAAAAGTGCTACATTACTTACTATAATGAGGAGCAAAATGCGGTCCTGAAATGGAAGCAAAATTGCTTTTGCTCAACTAAATGCAAGACCACTGACCTACCATCTAAAAGTCTCCTCCAATCTCATACAACTGTGGGATTATTTTTTAACAGAAATTCCCTGTATAATTTATTACATGTTCTTATGAGATAAGGTAAATTAGAACCAAAGCACATGCAAAGCGATTTAATGACTAATAATCACATACCTTCAACTAAGCATTTCTTATCACAAAAAGACATTATTACGTTATTACTTGTAATCTCACGGGTGCCTGATTGCTCTACCACCATTTAATACACTACTGCCAGTGGTTATTGACAAGTAAATGATCACAGTGTCATCAATTTCTTCTGAATAAATAAATAATGATAATAATAGCTAATACTGAAGTGCCAGGCACATAGCAAGCACTCTCGAAGTGTTGGCTGTTATACTTGCCAGGCATTGTTCCAAGTGTTTTACATATATTCTTTTATTGAATGTTCTAATAACTCTATATCAGAAGTGTTTTATCGTTACCATTTACAGATGAGTAAACCAAGACAGAGATGTCAAGTAACTTGACCAAGGTCACCCAAGTAACTGTCAGAACCAAGATTTGAACCCAGGTCATTTGCTACAGAATCTGGGCTCTTGACCATCACTATCTACTGCCTTTGCAATAATTACATAACAAATAATTTGACACAGCATCTTAAGACAATCTGTTAATTTCTAAGAAAGATTTATCAAATGTTGAATATGCAAATTTAGAAATAATTGTAATCTATGAACTACAAAATGTTTTTAGAAATATCTCACTCAGGCCGGATGTGGTGGCTCACGCCTGTAATCCTAGCATTTTGGAAAGCCAAGGCGGGCAGATCACCTGAGGTCAGGAGTTCGTGACCAGCCTGGCCAACAAGGTGAAACCCCATCTCTACTAAAAATACAAAAATTAGCTGGGCATGGTAGCGTGTGCCTGTAAACCCAGCTACTTGGGAGACTGAGGCAGGAGAATCACTGGAACCTGGGAGGTGGAGGCTGCATTGAGCCAAGACTGCGCCACTGCACTCCAACCTGGGTAACAGAGTAAGGCTCCATCTCAAAAAAAAAAAAAAAAAAAAAAAGAAATATCATACTCAGTTTTGATGTTTATTATATATTATTTAAATATTATTATTTTATTAAGTATTCATAAACTGGATAATCCAGATGATCTTTATATCTGCAAGAGAATTAGAATTTATTAAATATTTAAGAAGGCATGAATAACATTTTAATAAAAAATTACCTCCATAACTGGTTTAAAATAGTAGTGAAACAGAAGACTTCCAAGAGTTCCCTGATTCCCCTTGCAGGACGTGTCTAACAGAGGTGCGGCTCGGCTGTTTGGTCTCCCGACAGCTCAAACCCCTTACAGGAGGGTGAGCACACAGACAGGCAGGTGCAGGAAACCGGGAGGAGTGCCTTTGGGCTCCAGCCCCACAGAATCATCTAGGGGTGTGTGTCTGCGACTTCTGAAGTCCAAGTGGGCATATGTTACAGTGTGCTCCTTTAGCTTTGCCATCTGCAGATGGCTTGTGTGTTAATCAGCTCAATGGACCCTCGGCCTTATCACAAGGGCAGGGCCCCAGTGTGAGGGCCTTCTGTATCCCAAGCTCTTGCCCAGGGTCGCAAAAGAATCAGATCACATGCAGGCTTGAAGGATAAGTGCAATGTTTTATTGAGTGGTGGAGATGGCTTTCAGCAAGATGGATGAGGAGCCAGAAGGGGGAATGGAGAGGGAAGGTGGTCTTCCCCTGCAGTCAGGACTCCCAGTGGTGGGACTCTTTTCTGACTGCCCCTGGCCAAACTCCCCTCGGTGTCCAGACATCCTTCCTCCTCTCTCTTTGTCTGCCACATCATTCCGTCATTGCTGGTCTGCTGGTCTGCTGGTCTGCTGGTCTGCTGGTCTGCTTGCCTCCTCGTCTCCTTGCTTGCAGGTCACATCTGGAGTGTGGGATTCGAGATTTATATGAGGGCAGGATGGGGGCATGGCAGACCAAAAGGGAGTTTTTTGGGTGTGAAAACAGAGATACCTGTCCTCATTTAGGGCTGCAGGTCTTCAGGCTTGATGGTGGGGCCTTTGCCAGGAAACCGCCGTCTTCTACCCAGTATTCACCGATCCCTGGTCTGTATCACTAGCAACAAAAGACAAAAGAATTCTATAAATCTTTTTTTTGGATATACTTCTATATGGAAAACATTTGAAAAATGTTACTGTGCAGTGTGATGTCCCTCCTCCACACTGCCTGCCTTGTCGGTGCTCCTGTCTTTTGGTTGCCAGAACTCTGAGGAACTCCTTGAGTGTTAAACTAATCATTTTATAATACACAAATATTACTTTGAACATTATAAATTATAAATTTATATTATAGGAAAAGCATAAAACAATTATATAGCCATTATAAAAGTACACAGAAGTTATTTGCCTTCAAAATTCCAAATATTGCTTTGTTCTACTGACCACTGTTCATCATTTGGTGAGTTTCCACAAAATATTGCCTCTCCATTTTTACATGATGGTTTAATTATATCTTCTCCTCTTTCCCCTGATTTTTTCTCTTTCTTTTTTTAACAGTGGCGAAATAAGAGTAATGCATGCACGTAATTTTCTCTAACACAATTATTTGACTGGATGGGGGAAAAAACAATCCTTTAAGTTTTGAATGAACTCATTTCCCCTTGCCTTGCAATCTGATAGAGGCTAGGCACCTCTAAGTCATAAATTATTCCACAAATATGTATTGACTATCTACTCTGAGCCAGGAACTGGAGAAGTCAAGCCAATACCTTACAGTCTTCTTCTAAAACTAGCAAGTTTGGGGTTGACATCAAAAGTCTAGGTTTTGCAGTTACTTCAGAGTTCTAAATGAAGATCAGTTGCCAACATGTGGATGGACATGCAATGAAGATATGAAGGAATACAGAGGAACTTCTGAATTGGAAGCAAGTGGTGAGCCTGAGTAGATAATGTGTATAAATGGGTAAAATGAAAGAAAAATTAATGGCATCTTGCATGTTAATTATACAACTAAAAATACTAAAGTCATGCCTTTTATAGTACATTTATTAAGTCGCTACTAAGTGACTTTTATTCCAATAAATGCTATGAGATTATCAAGTACACACAATTTTGTTTGTGACATGACTTCCTTTGGTACATACAATCCTGACAACTGTTTTGAATTTAAATTCATCAACACAATCTTAGCATATTTCCACAATAAATTCACTTGCCCGATCTCTCTCCAGTTATTAAGTTTTTTATAATCCGGTGCTTATGGGAAACTTTACCCTGAATTACTTTTTGGCACCCGAATTGTAGGAAACAGCATGGCCTTGTAGTCAGACAAAGTGATCTCAAACTTGGCTTTCCCCATTTTCCATCTCTGTGACCGTGAGTACAAAAATAACCCTCCTCTCAAAAATATAGCTAGTAATAGGTACTCCACCTGGTTGTTAATAGAATTAATCAGAAAGTACATGCAGTGCACCCAATAAAATATCAGTCTCTCCCCTACTTAAATATTTCAACATAGATTTCAAGATGTATGGGTGGAGATTTTATATAATTTGAAATAAATATTTTCTTCTAGTAGCAGTCCAAGAAATAGAAGATGTGAAAAAATACAGAGGAAGAATCAGTGCAGTGAGAAGACAGTCAGCTTTCTATTCTGGAATCAGCAAGAGATGGGAGTTAATAGTCTCTTCTGCATTGTGTTTTTGCTGAAGAAGTGCTTAGTATAAAAATTGTCTGGATTAGGGCAGATACTGGGCTTTCCTTAGGTTGCTCTTGGGCAGAACTATTTGAGTGGACTTGGAGGCCCCAAATTCTCAGGAGATTAAGCCAGCGGTAATAGGCCTGATCTGGCACTGTTTATCTCTTTGTATCCAGTAGGACAAGCCTTATTCACAGTAATGTAATTTCTGACGATGTTTATTTTTTTCCAGTTTTACCTGAAATTGATTTAAGTAACAAAGTGATAATCATGGGTATGAGCCAAGGGATCTTCCTTTCCAGGAAGAAAAATGTAAAAGCTTAGCCACAGCTGATGTTTGGCTTGGGGATTTAGGGAAAATCTGTGACACATTGCTTCTGAGGATGACTTCCATTCTGTGGCAGCCAGCAGCTGTGTGATCGTATTTGAATGCAAACACCTGTAACATTTGGAAGGGTCTTTAACACCAGCTTCTCCTGGTATAGAAACTATTAAAATCAAGAGACCTTATTTTCTTCCTTACCTTTCAAATGTAAGTCTTCCTTAAGGTGGACAGAAAATGAATTGTTTCCTTCTTACCATCTGTTATTGTTTTTGCCTGAAGGCCTGACTGCCTTCCTACTCCCTAATAAACAAAGGGGAATTCTATTGACCAATTCATTTTCAAAGAGATTTTAAAAGGCATTAAGCAATCAATTCTCACATAGTGTCCAAATTGAGTCTCTCATTCATTCTCTTGCCTGAGAAGAACCTGAAAGCAATATTCACATAAAACATATTCACTCAGGGTATAGACAGTGTTGCTTTATGTATTAATATTTACCAAGTTGCAGGATTCTTGAATACTGTATTTCATACTGGATTTATATTTTTACTTCTCTTCTTCTCTCTTTCCCTTTTTGAGTATGATATTTTTAATTTTAAAATAATTAAGCTTCATATGCTCTTATATGTATTGTCATTCATTTTTTGGAGAAAACCTAATGTGACATCTGATAAAGAAATCAAAGTGCTGATAGTGGTAGTTACAAAGGCAAAGGGATAACTTGGTCAAATATTATCATTTCTTTTGACGTATGTCTTCCTTTCAACAATGAGATTTTGAACAATCGAGGTATTTTATTGTAAGCACCTCAGAGTGAAGTCTCTATTGTTAAATTTACTTTTTCTTTGATGTAAAATGCTTTACATGCGGAAAATAATGGCTTTTATTTTCCAGTACCTTTCTAGTTTAGAATACAAACTCTTCACGTTAAGGTATTTGTGTGATAAAAGATACTTAATCACTTATTAAAGATTCACTTCCAATTCTAATTTCTATGTTTTCACAAAAATACGTCATATTCTTGAATCTTCTCATTTTTCACCTAGAATGAAATCTTAAGAAAACAATTGTACATAGAAGTTGTATCATTAGCTCATTTGAAAATGCAATTTTGTTTTGGAAGCTATTGATAATTAGAACAGCGAGGGACCCCCATCTGCTTAGTTACCTATATCTCATTTTTATACTTTATTCAGCTATCCTATATTTTTATGTTATGAATGTAAATATCTTTTCCTTGAGATCCCTCCAAAGACAACAAATTTCATATTACAATTCTTATCTGTAAAGACAGAAACTATAAAAGCATGAATAGCTTTACTGTTAGACTATATGTGAAGAATGACTGCTATATTACTGAAAGAACCGATTTCACGTCACTGACTTCCCCAAGTCACAATTTTCATCTTTCAAAAAGTGATAACTTACTCTCTTCTAGAAATAGAAAAAAAATGCCAAAGACAGTGCTAAAGTAAATAATCTCTATTGATTTCATTTCCAATAATAAATAAATTGAACTTGAAAGTTATTTTTTTCAACATGGTAAAACATCAGAAAATCTTACAATGTTAGAATAAATTCAACTTCACTACAATTAAAAAGAAAATGTAAATTGAAGGAAATTGTTTTAAGTTAACACACCAGGGTTGAGGTCAGGTGGTCATGTAGGAAATGAAGTTAGCATTAGGAAAGGGAGGGCTTGAGTGCAGATGTAGGGCTCTGGCTCTATTTAACAGATATGTGTGCTTTTGGAAATTTATTTAATCCCTATGGTCCTTTAGTTTTGTCATAAGTAAACCTCTATCAGATTTATTTTGGGATAAATATTTATTAGAAAAACTAAACCAATAAAAAAAGCCTAAACATTTTAGCATCTATACAAATAAAGGGCTAATTTATGTCATAAAAATGTTCCCTTTTATCTTTATGCTTTTTATAAGTAATATCGAAAATGGTAATACTGTAGTAAAGTTAGCAGATACAATTCTCTTAGAACAATTCATGCATATTGTTATGTTGTTTCATCTGTTATCTTTCTGGAATTTTCTTTTATAAAATTTAATTCCATTACTGCTATCTAATATTGCTGTCACATTATCATAGTCTTCATTAATGCATAATTGCCTTTGCTCCTTCTCCATATTTCTTTTTGCTGGAGACTAATGTAAAATTGCAGTTCATTAATTACACCATCATAAAAATCCTTGTTAATTTGATTACTTCGTGCATTTATCTATGAACCTATCCTTTCTTGATTTTCTCCCTTGATCTATGTTTATTTCTTATTGCCTTCATCTTTTATCTTATAATTTTTTATGCAACTGAAATCAATGTATTTAAAAAAGAACTGGATGTATCTGTACTTGAGTGGATTACAAAAACCTGATACATTTTAAGTGTATAGATCAGGAATAATTATATTAAATAGCATCCATGATATTCCAAAGTGGATTCAAAGACTGAGGGGAATAAAAAGACTGATTTCATGACATCATATGTACCTAAAATACAGACTGAAACTGAAATTATATGTTGACAAAACAAGCAGCCAAATCATCAAAAAAGAGGAGGAAAAATCAATAAACTGCCTATTCAGAGACATGAAGACATTACAGCTGAAATATTGAGCAGATATTTCCTTTCAACTAGTTTTTTGTTTTTTTTATGGTTTTTGTTTTGCATTGTCTATAGTATTTTGCACTACTTATATACATATACCTTAGATAAGAGAAAGTCTTGACTAGAGAATTAATGAATTAAGGAATGATGAAACAGCTTATAAGGGTCTCTAGAAAACACAATGAGTTCTCCTACAGACATTATTAACCACTCTATTTTGCAAAACAATACCAAAATGTTTTGTGAAGACTTTTGATGGTTTGTTTTAGGAAAATAAAAGATGACCGAGGGACAGGCACTGGGGCTCATGCCTGTAATCGCAGCACTTTGGGAGGCCAAGGTGGGAGGATGGTATGAGGCCAGAAATTCAAGGCTGCAGTGAGCTATGATTACACCACTGCACTCTAGACTGGGTAACTGAGAAAGACCCTGGCTCCAAAAAAAATAAATAAATAAAATAAAAATCCCAGGAAAAAAAAAAAAAGATGACTGACATTACTCCTTAGTAAAGCTTCACTGTCCTTAGCCAGAGACTTTGACTTTTGGGTATTTCCAGTACATGGATGACTGTGGCATACATTGATACCACTTCTTCCTGACACTCTGTTTCTTGGCAAACTTCCAATCTCAAACCTTCTGCCCTTCCTACCAACCCCTGCTGATGACTCTATCAGACAGTTATCTTTAGGTTTGGAGAAAAATTAACATTTTTGAGATAAATCCTCGCTAACTTTCCACCTTCATTAATTTTCCCCAGCTTTACTCTTTACAGATAATAGGTTTTCTTTTTTTTCTGAAAATGTAATAAAAGCCAAATGTATCTGTCACTTTAAATTCCATGAAATGACTTGGTTAAAATGAACTATGGCAGCTAGCTTTTTAATAAAAGTGTGCAGTAGATCTTCTCATTGTTTGAATAGCTATATTATGATTTGTTTACATTTATATCTTCATACAGGACGTATCATCCTAGATCTGGAAAATCCTTTTAAATGGCTATCATCTACAGATGCCTTTTCTACTATGTTTTCCCAGCAAAACTAGGTTTTAATTAGGCTCCCTTCCTACTAGCCTTTAGTGGATAAAATCACAGTTATGACATTTATGATCTGAATCAAATTCCAAAGGGTACAATTATGGGGAAGAGAAAGTGTTATGATGGTAGTGGTGGTGATGGTTATTATTATTATTGTAAATGTAACCAACATTTACGTAGTATTTTATAGTTTTAAAAGTGCTGGCATGTGAATCACCTTATTAAATGAGACAAATGAGGAAATTCACAGTTCCTAATTTCTACTCATGAATGAAATTGTTTAATTTTTTTTCCTTCTCATTACCAGACTTGAGGAGCATGTCTATTAGGTTCGTGTTCATTATCTGTGAGGATTCCCGCAATGGGGTACTGAAGTGAGGAAGAATGACATACCGGCAAGCTGTGTGATTAGAAAATAGAAAACTATTTTGGCAATAATATAAGTCATGAGAGATTGCAGAACAGCAATCGATTAATCTGAAGGAAAAAAGTAGAATAAAATCAAATCTTATAAAGAAAATAAATAGCATTAGAGCCTTAGAATAAAAAATTAAAGTGTGAATACCCCTTTAGAAATTCCTTGGTATGAAAACATGTCTTGAAAGCATTTACATAGGGAGAGATGAGGATTTGAGCTGCTTGTAGGAAGATACATGAAGGAAGAAATCACTTTACCAATACCAGCTAAAGTTAATTTGATGCTTCCTGTATTATAAAGCCTATAGCTATTTTCTCTCACCCTAATTTGAAATGTCTGCTACCTCACCATACAATTAAAATTTATTTATATTATTCCAAAATGAATAACTGAGAGACAAAGCTTTATGTAACTGGAAACTATGAAATCCTCCTCCAATCCTCCCACTCCTCCCCTGACCCTCCTTACTCCCCCGACTCAGATTATCAAAGAATTTAAGATAGAGATCTTGTAATTCTGAGATAAATTCTCAGAATATGCAACAAGTCTGCTAAATTTGGAGGTAGGGACCAAAGAGAACTGAGTACATCTGAAAATGGAAGATCGCTTTGATTTGATTGTTTGTTTGTTTTGCCCCTGAGTGAGGCAGAGAAGAAAGGGAAGGAATACTGAAAAAAAGAGGAAGGGAAAAAAAAAAGCAATGAGAAGAGTCAACAGGGAAACTGAATAGAATGCTGGACAAAAGCGTGAGTTTGGAAATAACTAAAGAGATTAGATATTTTAAATAAATATCTAATTATTTGGAACTAAATAAATATTTTATACTACATTTAGTTGTGTTGCAGCAATGCACTACTTCCCAAGCCCCAAACCTTTAGTAATCTGTTACACACGTTTCCCGTGTGCACACCTGTGTGTGTGCACTGTGTGTACAGTATGTATAAAAATGAGAAGAGGGACAATTAGAAACCAATAGATATATGTATTTTAAATGAATAATTTAGAACACTAGAAAATAAGAACATCAAAAAAACTGTGAAACTAACAAAGGTAAACATTATATAATTTAATGCTTTCCTGGTGCTGGCCCTCTATGGGAAAAGACACCATTGTATTTTGAATTTAGGTTTATAAGAGAAAAACAGATTATCATCATAGTGTAACCCTGCCCATTAAACACCACATAAAATTGGTTGATAAGCCAGTGTTAAAACATTTAGAATATCCAATAACCTCACCAGAATTTCTCTGCATTCCAAGGGCCAAGGTTGAGGGCTGTATATTTGTGGATGTGTGCCTGTTTTAGGTTGAGGCAGGTGGGGCTGGCTAACTTGTCACGGTTACTTCTGGCTCCAAGTTTCACTTTCAGCGATTTAGTTCAGTGTCCCTATTGATCCAGACATGAAATCTAACTTTTCTCTTCCATATTCTTAAACACTGTGGAGCACTAATAAAACGTGGTCAATTCTATCTGAGGTCTCTTTAAATTGTACTTAGAAATGCATTTTGATTGAAAGGCCTGAAAAACCGAAACAGATCATTCTTTAATAATAGAATTTCTTCCACTTTGACAGCTTGGTATAGAGGAAAAATGAAGAGAGGGGAATTTACAAAGCTGAAAACTATTTTGTCTATAATACTAAACCCACTGATAGTCAAATTTGTTTATTCTTGTCTGCATTACTTGTCACTAGATTTCTATCGAGATAAAATATTAAAAACATATTATAACTTTTTGTTATATGCATGGATTTGGGAACAATTATCCTTCAAGTTACCCTGATTCTAGATTTAAAAGCAAACAAACACTCATAGGTGTTCTCTTGGCTATTATTTATTTCTAGTTGTATTCTATATTGAGGAGAGTTCAGTTGCAGAGGGCCGACTCTACTCCAACTAGCTGGAACATAAGGAGGTTTATTCCTGGCTATTAAATGGCTCATAGAATTTGGGGGAATGCAAATGAAGTTGACTCTAGGCTGAACTTGAGCAATAAATCCTAAAGTCATACAACTTCCAGGAGAGCATCCAAAAGCCATAGAGTAGAACTGGACCACTCAGGAGTCCACTAACCCAGAAATGATGGTGACTGGTGGAATCAGAAAGTTGGCTAGTAAATTAGGAAACTATTGCTACAGTTTCTGGCTCCAAAACATATCAATATTACCTTAATACGCACAAATAAAATGGATGCTTTCTGCTCAGTTCCTCCTCATGTATGTCTCTCCCTCAATTCCAGATCATGATGACACATCCCATTGGTGGACATTAAACCATATAGGGATACCTCAGTGAGTCTGGTAAATGTGGCCTTTACTTAGCAGCCTCTGCACACTTGAAAGAGGATGGAATGCATTTCTGAGTGAGCCAATTCATGGTACCAGCTACATATTCTTCTTGATTGTGGCCTCGGGGACTTCATTCGGTAATATATTCTATTAATTAAAATATTTAGAATAACTAGTATTTATGAATAAAACATGAGAGTAAAATTTGAAAATCCTTACTAATATAGGGAAGAATCGCATGGAAACTTGAATAAAATAGATTTATAGTTTTCAATTAGTGTTGCACATCCAACACAGGGACATCTGGGAATGTGTGCCAGATTGTTGGTTACCACTATGAGGGTGAAATTCTATGAGCATTTAGTGGAAAGGGGTCAGAGGTAGTAAGTTCTTCAGTACATGGAATATACAATAGAATTTGACACAATGAAGAATTGTCTCACTGCAAATACCAAGAGCACCTCTATTGAGAAATGTTGGCATAGGTAATCTCCAAATAATTTCAATTTCAATAACCTACATTATTATCAGAAAAATTTACTGAAATCAATCATCTATTTTGCTGTTTTCTACTCTCTTAATAGAAGGGCACATACCCAGATAAATATTAATATGGAGATAGGTAAAAAATGAGCAGGAATAAAAGATATTAATATTTTATGAACAAAAGAATTATTTGACTTTACTAAACAGTAGTTTTCAAAGGATGTTCAGCTAACCAGAAGCATTGGCACCACGTGGGAACTTGTTAGAAATGAAAACTCTCTGGACTATATCAGACTCATAGAATCAGAAACTGTGGAGCTAGGGCCCAGAAATGTGTGTATTAACAAGCCCTCCAGGCAGATATAATATACTTTTAAGTTTTGACAGCTTCTGGAATAAAAGCATCAAGGACTGAAATGTTGTATATGTTTGTTGTAATTAGAAAATTCAAGTTTTCATTTGCGAAGAAGGTATTCAAAGGAAAGAAACATTTTGTATGAAATTAGCCTACATTGGCAAATTCTTTGGTTCTTCTAACAATTATTCCTCCTAGGCATGCTGTCCAAGAGGATATGAAAGAGAACAGATTTAAGACATAACCCAAACTAGGAGCCTGCAACAGAGATAACCAGAAATTAGGTGTATTAGTTTTCTTTTTTTTTTTTTTTTTTTTTTTTTTTGAGACGGAGTCTCGCTCTGTCGCCCAGGCCGGACTGCGGACTGCAGTGGCGCAATCTCGGCTCACTGCAAGCTCCGCTTCCCGGGTTCACGCCATTCTCCTGCCTCAGCCTCCCGAGTAGCTGGGACTACAGGCGCCCGTCACCGCGCCCGGCTAATTTTCTGTATTTTTAGTAGAGACGGGGTTTCACCTTGTTAGCCAGGATGGTCTCGATCTCCTGACCTCATGATCCACCCGCCTCGGCCTCCCAAGGTGTATTAGTTTTCTATGGCTGCTGTAAAAAATAACCACAATCTTAAGGGCACAGTTCCTATAGATCAGAAGTCTAACACAGGTCTCGCCAGGTTAAAATCAAGGTGTCAGCAAGGCTGCATTCCTTATGGGAGGCTCTGGAGAGGAATCAGCTTTCACATTCATTTGTATTGTTGGCCAAATTTGGTGGATGGATGTAGGATTGAAATATCCACTTCATTGCTAACTGTGAGTAGAAGGGCACCCTTCACTCTTAGAGGCCTCTCTTTAGTTTGTGTTTATGACCTCTTACAGCACAGCCTTCTCATATTTGAAATCTAACTTCTATCATTGTTCCTGCTGTTCCTCTTCTGCCTTCTACTGTTATCTATGTGGCTCCAGCCAAAGGAAGTTCTCTGCTTTTTCATGTAATTAGATTGGGCCAACCTGGATAATTCAGGTTACTCTTCCTAAAGTCCATAAACTTCATTATGTCTGCAAAGTTTCTTTTCCATGCAATGTAATATATTCACAGGTTCATGGGATTAAGTTATGGACATCTTTGGAGAGCCATGATTTAACCTATCACATGGGGGAATTCGTTCATTTATGCCTTGAACCACAGCACTAACAGTGCTAGGCTTTGGAGTGTGAAACAATGAAGGTCATAGTTTCTTATTTCAAGGATTGTATAGTCTAGACTATGTAGAAGCAGATGAAGGAGTCAGAGAAGGGCACTATATCTTACATATGAATTCACTCATTATAGTAATTCCTAGATAGTCTATAATATTTTTGTTAATAGTGATATTAAGTAATTACAAGAATCTCAGGCAGCAGAACTTCAAGGGGAGCTATGCAGCATTTAGAAAATTTATTCACTCCTTAGGGTTCCAGGGAGGTCACTTGGTAGCAGTTTAGTCTCCAGGCCCTGTAGGAGCAGAGGACAGGGATTCCCAATCATCAAACCAAAATCAGAGTCCAGTCCCTCAACGGGGACTGAGGTCTCATGAGTGAAACTAGTGAGAACCTAGAAATAGAGACCAATGTAGGAACATATTGTGAGAGCTCAACCAATTATAGTAGAAAAAAGGATGAGTACCCTGGGACTTGGGGCAGCCATACACATGCACAGGGATTTCCCTTTCATGGTTCTTGTGCTGGATTTGACTGGTAGCAAGGAGACTTGGAGAAACAACTCAGGAGAACAGTGGTCCTCACTGGGCCACAGAAAACCCTGTGTGTTTGGTAGCAACGTAAGTGTGAATGCCAACAGTGGCTCTAGAGCAGGAGAGGACTGATCCTGGGGATCGTGTCGGGAAGCCATGAACTCTCAGAACCTGAGAGTCCTTGATTACTCTGTCTGTGGGTTTGGAGAGTCTCTCTCAAACTGAAGTTTTACTTCGTATTTTAGAAAAAAGGTGTCAAGATTTGTAAAACACTGTGACAGGTGACAACGGAGACTAAGAATTTAAGGTTTGGGATATAGAAGATATTTTTGGTAACTGAGATTCCTGTCACCTGGGACAATATCAATTTGTTAAATTCAGATTTTTTAAGATGTATGTGGGCCTACATATACTATATTAACTTATTTTTCTTCCTTTCCTCCTAAAGCATTTTTATTTCATTTTATTTATCTTTTTGAGGCAGGATCTCACTCTGTTGCCCAGGCTGGAGTCTAGTGGTGCAACTGTAGCTTATTGCAACTTCAAACTCCTTTGCTCAAGCGATCCTCCCACCTCAGCCTCCCAAAGTGTTGGCCTTATATGTGTAAGTCACCGTGCCTGGCCTAAAAGCGTTTTAATATGGATTGCATTAAGACTTTTTACAATAATACATTAGAGAGAAAATTATGAGAATAAGGATCTTTAAATGTTTTTCCTTTTAGTAAATAGAACAAAGGGTGATAGTAGTATATGCCAAGCTTCCCCACCCTCTGAAATGAGGAATTATATGTGAAATCTTTAGATTTTTTTTTCTGTGAGAAAATAACAGAAGCTACTGTATAATTCTTAGTCTTCAATCTTCCTTTCTCATTAAAGTGAAAACACAATGGAAAGAAATGAAGGATTTATCATATTTATATAGGCAAATCTTTACAATTGATATAAAATAAAAGGAAGGAGGGAGCCAAAGCAGACCTTTTGGGAGATCCTCTGATTCAGGAACAGCAGCTAGAAGCTTCTGAGAAGTAAACACAAAAGAGGAGAAACCGTAAGGTTCTGAGTGTTCAAAGAATCACCTTCAAGATTTTTAACAGTCATACTTATTAGTTTTGAGGCTTTTTTTCCCCTAACAAATGAGCTTAATGTTTAAAGAGCCACTGGCATGTACATATGTTGACTATGGCTTCTATTTTAATTTTATGTTAAGGGGATCACCAGAAAAGCAGTGTGGAGCTTGTAACCATCTAACCTGACCCAGGTAACGAAAGTCAGCCCTCAGTAGGGCATTATCCAACCCTGGAGCTGAGGCTCCAATTTCCTTGGCCTTTGGGGATTGGATCTCACTTCTAATGGTATTCACGGCTGCCATGTATCGTGCAAGGTCAGTAATATGTGGCTGTTCTGATGCTATATTTAATTGCATATGTTCACATTATGGTTTTATTGCCAGTTGGATTCAGAACCTTTATGATATTATTGGGGGAGTGTACAAGATCGTGGATAAAGGGGATAGAGTTTTATGCCCGGGTCTTTGGCTCACTCCAGATGTGACCTCGCATAAATTAGCCACCTTTCTTTTGATTTAGCTACAACTGCAATTTATGTTGGCTTGTGGCAAAGCTAACTGCAAGTGGTTTTGACATAAAATGTAGGATTTATATAATTAGTTGTATTTTCCTGTAAATCTTACGTAGATTAACTTTTACCTCATAAGACCACAGAGAAGAGAAATCTCTAAAAATCATTGCAAAGCACTTGCGTTAACACATGTATATTGCTATGCAAATGCTAACTAATGATAATAACTATTGGAATGGAGCTTAATTGAGGGACTAAAAATAGCTCACTGCAAGCAAAATCGAGCACGTCCTTTTAGTTGTGCTAATATTATACAGAAGGAATAGGCAAAAGTTTTAAGATAATAATGTTTTATTCAGCCTTACTGACATTATTCTTCTGTGTCTTCTCATTTGAGATTGTCTTTGCTAATAGCTTTAACATTTTCCAACAAGTGCATTACTGAGCCAAGAATGCCCAGCATCCAAATTACTGATGCTTGGGGCAGGTGGGACACAGCTGCAAGTCACATAAAATCACAGCTGGAATGCTGCTCTTCTTTGTCATTTTTTGTATATTTTAGCTTAAAATATAATTATTAAACCTGAGAAGATGACTGTACTAATTCTTTAGGATAATTGTCCAACATTTCCAACTCTTTCTACATTTTTACGGAAAATCTGGAAAGTTACATTAGTCTTGCTATTACCAAGGATTATTATTCCTTCTACAACATACTGATTACAGGGATTTTACCTTTGTTCAAAATTTATTTTTAATTAATTTTGTTGATCTCCAGTCATATACAGTTCACCATTTTATAAACCAGAATACCATGATGTTGACAAAGAAACACTATATGTTTCTACGTATGGTCCAACATAGCAAAGTCATGCCTGAGTAAAATTTATTTTGGGAAGTGAGTGGAAATTATAACAAAAGCACATTTAATAAAATAGTATATAACTTTACTTATTTTTGTTTTGCAAGAAAATTATACATAGAAACACTAAATTAATTAAGCTATTTCTTGAAATAATAACCTGATTTACAATGATTTTTTTTGCCAAAAACACTGGACTAGAGACCTATTCGAACTCCATTTTCTGAGAAATTAAAGCAAAGGATCCAGAAGGCAAGTTGATTTTATTCAGGTTTCAGACAAAGGACGGTATTTATGAAAAGGAATTTATGGAAAAGTTCTTTCTCTTGGCATTTGTCTGTTTCTTTTATATTCCCATGTTTTCTCTTTTCCTCTTGGGCTCTTCTTTTACTGTCATATTTTTCTACAAGAAAAGCCTCATAGAAAGCACAATTAACCTCTTCAAGTGGATACAAAGCATTAGTTTCCTATTACATGAATAAAGGCATTCTAGTTCCAAAATTCTATAAGTAAATGCTGTTATGTTTACTTCCAGTAAATTCGAAGGCAGGAATAGAAGGGCCTTAGCACCTTATTAAAGACTGTTTTTGCCAATAGTCTATGGAGTAGATAGAACTACTCTTTACAAAGATTTTTAAGCAAGTTTAGATATTTCCAAGTATTAATAATTGTCCTTTACATGGTATGGCCAACGCAAGCTTGTGAATCTGCTATTTACTAAATCTTCTCACTACCTTTTCTATCATATATGATATACATGTCTAGAATTTCCTGCTATTAAATTCATACTGATGAGAGGTGTCAGTCTTTTGCAAATTGAATCTTTCTTCAATATAAAAGAGAAAGGTCCATTTCCCAATTCCTCTCTCAATCTCTCCTTTACTCTTCCTCTCTCTCTCCCTTTTAAGTGACACTTGCCTTTTGCTTAGTGACTTTTCTTGGAATATATCACTATTATGGGTGAATGTTTGTGTTCCCCCAAAATTTGAATGTCGATGCCCTAACTTCAAATGTACTGTTATTTGGAGATGGCATCTTTGAGAGGTTATTAGGGTTAGATAAAGTCATGAGGATGAAGCCCTTATGATGAGATTAGTGCACTTATGAGAAGAGACACTAGACAGGTTGTACTCTCTTTCCACCATGTGAGGACATAGGGAGAAGGCAGCACTCTGCAAGCCAGAAAGAGCCCCCTCACCAGACTTGACCATGCTGGCACCCTGATCTTAGATTTCCCAGCCTCCAAAACTGATAAAATAAATTTCTTTTGTTTAAGCCACACAGCCTATAGTATTTTGTTATGGCATGCTGAGCTGATGAAAATAATAATAATATCCATTTTTCATGGTATGTGTTAATTCTAAACATACGTGACAAGAGCATATTAAATCCAAGTAGCTTTCTTGATCAAACCTCCCCTGCTAAGGACATATCTGCAATCATAATTTAATAACTTGGTGCTTTCATTTTCCTGTGTATTTACTTAGCTTTAATGTTTTATCATGAGAAATGGTGCCTTGCAAATACTGCAAATGTTTTAATAAAATAATATTCTACTAGATGCAGACCCTGGAAAATGTATTCTAAAAGGTAAAAAAGGTCAAAATGTCTAAAGAAATAGGTGATAAATTCTAGAACTAGAAATTTGCTTATTTCTAGACTATAAAAGATACCAAGTAAAATTCCATTTTTTCTTTTTTTTTAACTGTACCTGTTTTCTTTTTATTAGTGCTCTAAAACTGTTCATTACTTTACAAATTGGCTATAGTATTCATTACTAAGTGAAATAATAAACAGAAACAATGAAAAAAGCAAGTTGCCTAATAAGGATAATTTATTTCCATCTAGAGAGTTCATTATGTTTCCAAGCATTGCTATTCTTGTTAAGTAGCATTTACCTCCTCATAGCTGAGACAAGCTTACAATTTTTTAATCAGAGGAAACTAGCAATTTCACTATTCCAACTAGATTATAATATTTAATCTTGTTTTTTTTTTCTTTTTTTTTTTTTTTGCCACAAAGCCTAGCTCCTAATCTGTGATATCTATCACTGGAATGATCATGTAATGGCCAAAAAGAAAACATGTTCTCATATATGTGCAACTCTGTATTTTTTAGAACATTGCTATTAATCTCATGATATCTATAAGAAATTTAACTAGAATAATTGACTACATGGGACAGATTAGTGTGAACCTAATTTATTTCATAAAGGAATGAAAAATTGAAAATGTCCTTTTAAATTATTTAGTATAGGAAGGAGAGAAAATATTACTAGGGAATTTTTTAACATGCTGTATAATCCATTCATATTTTCATTAGTATTAAGCCTGTATGTCATATATATGCACATTAATATATAAGCATATGTTAAAATAGAATGTTGGCTAATGGCAAGTGTTATGAAAAATAAATACCAGTTTATTCATTATAATTCAATGTAAATAATTGCATTCTAAAAGCTAAATATGTTTAGTTTATTGAACTTCATGTTTTTAATCAAAGTATTTTCATAGAAAACTTATTATCAAGCCTGTGTCTCAATAAATTTCTTGATAATTTGATTATGCAATTGACATGCAATTTCTTGATAATTTAATTATGGAAAGTAAAAAAAAAGAAAGAATTATTGCCTTTAATAATAACATGATCTAATAAATACAGAGATCAAATAATCATTATTGTTTGGGTCTTAATTAATAGTAAAAATTACAGTAAAATCTCACTAGTTTAGACTTGTGAAAGAGGAAGAGAAGTAAATTGATGGAATTCTGAATCATGAGAAATATTTTAAAGAATTATAGTTTTACTATGTTCACATAGATAACAAAAGTAGGTTAACAAAGTGATATCAAATAAATGACCTGAGAACTGACTTAATATATAAAAGAGAATGAGTTATACAGTTTCCAATTTATCATTGCTTATTAATTATTAATGCTATCTTTAGATATTTTTTCTCCTAAACAGTTTTGACATGCTCCTTGCAAACACTGTTATCAAGGCCTAATTTTTTTTTAAGCTAGCTGTACTGCCAGGGGTTAGAAATAAGTTCTAAGGGGAAAAAATAGACTCTTTAAATTCCACCCTCAAAACTAGCTCCTCCTGACAACATAAATGACAACATATTATTCCTGTTTTCCTAGGGATAAAATAAATTTTCTGATAACTGATATCAGGGGCTTATGAGGCACACATAGACTTTATACTGTTAAAAGCTATAATTTGGCCCGGCGTGGTGGCTCATGCCTGTAATCCCAGCACTTTGGGAGGCCGAGGCGGGCGGATCACGAGATCAGGCGATCAAGACCATCCTGGCTAACACGGGGAAACCCCGTCTCTACTAAAAATACAAAAAATTAGCCGGGCATGGTGGTGGGTGCCTGTAGTTCCAGCTACAGGCTGAGGCAAGAGAATGGCGTGAACCCGGGAGGCGGAGCTTGCAGTGAGCCGAGATAGAGCCACTGCACTCCAGCCTGGGTGACAGAGCGAGACTCCGTCTCAAAAAAAAAAAAAAAAAAAAAAAGCTATAATTTAGGTCATAGGTACAATTTCTGGTAAAGATGTAAGAAACTTATTGGGGCTAAACTAAATATTGCCTGGAATATATAAATAACAACTAACTTAACACCATGTTTTGTTATCATTTCTTAAAATTTTGCGATTGACGCAAGGCAGCCTATATAAGGCTTAACACTACCTACTACATATTTTCTCCATACAGCTTGGGTGAAAGGTGCATTCATTCATTTATTATTTTAATAAAGATCTAATGAAAGCCAACTTTGTAGTAGGCACCGAACTACAAGCTGAGGATACAATTCAAAACAGACACAGTACTCACCCTTATGGTATGTAGAGTTAAATAGGATAGCTGGACACTGAACAATTTACAGTGCAAATAAATCATTACAATTGTTGCAATGCTATGAAGGAAAAAGTTAAAAGTGAGAAAAATGTCAGGGAAATGATTGGTGGAGTGGGTAGGACCAATTCCTGGAATACTTTGTCACAGTCTTGCCACTTCACCCAACCTTATGGCCATTCTTCATACCACCATTAACTACAACTCTCTCCTCTCTGTCTAGATCCTTCCTGAACTTCACCCTAGTTCTGATTCTAACCCTGAACGTCTCTTCTGTTAGGACTCCTAACTGGCCTTTCCTTTTCCACTTCTTATCTTGTACCATCTGTTCTTCATACAACAGCCAGGTCATCTTACTTTCTTGATTAAAATCCTTCAGGATTTTTCTTTTAAATGTATAATAAAATCCCAATTTCTGGCTACATGATTGATTGTCTTGCATACACTTTTTAGTGTTGTATTTTTTGTTGTTTTTTTTAACCTGAAGGTGAGCTTTCACACTATAAAATGAAAGCAGCCACAATGAGGTCATTGAATCACCTGGCTTCATCTGAAGGCTGTGGTGAAAACATTAAGTTCCTTAAGATGATCTGCACCTTGTCTTGTTCACCCTCCAGATTTTCCTTGGGAGAAATTTAGCAAAAGATGGAAGACAATTTATAAGTCAATGATAGCATTTATTTCATTTTACAAATAAATCACCACTGTACCCTAATTTTATTAATTATAATCCCTGATCATGTCAGCAAATATTTATTGCTATAATGCAAATTTTAATTCATTTTGTCTATCTACATTTCTCTCTTTCTGGCTGTCTCTCAAGTCAATATGTCCAGATAGGAATAGATCTGTGCTAGTCGTAATCCTGAAAGACACAATCCTGAACGTCATAATCCTGAATGTTGAAATCCCTGAAGATCAAAATCCTTAAAGTCTAAAATTCCATAACTCACAATTCCAAAAGATTAAAATTCTGAAAGTTGAAATCCTGAAAGCTGAATTCTGGGAAAGGGATTAGCGCATTTTAGGTTTTAGGCAGGAGTCTCATCAACCAAAGTTGCATCATATTAGGTGGAACTAATACTTTGTTATTGTCTTTATTTGCATTTGGTGGCAAACTCAGATGAGTGGATTGGCCATGTGATAGGGCAAGAATGAACACTTTAGTTTAAAAATGCACCATTTGTCTAAATTGGCTTTCCTTCCAGCTAATGAAATCCCAGGAACTTTTAGCGAAATAATGCTGCATTTGCCAGAAGTCATTTGCATTTTTTTTTGCAAATTTCATGCCACAACAGTGCTTTATCACAACATTGACTTCATGTGAGAGTATTGTATGTGTACATAAAAACGTTGAAACTTCCTCAATACAGGAAAAGATGTCTTTTTGTACATTTGCATTTGTGAAATATAAAACTTCTCAGGATCTCAGCTCTTTGGGAGACTGTGCATGCTGTGCTGAACCATTGTGGGTTTTGGTCCCTCTGGTAAAAAGATTTAAGTTGGGCTGGGCGTAGTAGCTCATGCTTGTAATCCCAACACTCTGGGAGGCCAAAGCGGGAGGATCACTTAGGCCCAGGAGACCAGCCTGGCCAACCAAGTGAGACCCCTATCTCTACAAATAATTAAAAATATAGCCTGGTGTGGTGGCACATGTCTGTATTCCCATCTACTCTGGAGGCTGAGGCAGAAGGATTGTCTGAGCTCAGGAGGTCGAGGCTGCAGTGAACCCTGATCTGACTGTACTACCGCACTGCAGTCTGAGTGAGACTTTGTCTCAAATAAAACAAACCAAAGGCTTAAGTTGTCCATGATGGTGTTTTAGATGACTGTGGTTATAAAGCTGGGTGTACACAATTACCAACCATAGTAATATGTGCTTATACATTTCACTGTTTGACCTATTTCTATATGAATACAGTTCATCTGCTCATAAATGTTATACTCATGAGACTGTCATTAGTATACCTGGGTGGTTATGCTTGCAAAAATATGTATGCCATTATTGCCCATTTTACTATATAAAGTGGTCTAAGAAGTGTTCTGTGGTGTTTTTGTGTTTCTCAAATAAATCCTTAAAAAATGTAAATAAATATCTTTAAAGAATTTTTTATTCTTTTTTGCAGAATTACACTTTTGTGATTTTGATCTTTTAGAATTAAAATTTTCATAATTTTAGACTCTAGGGATTTTGATCTTTTAGGATTTAAACATTCAGGATCCTGTCTTTCAAAATTATGGCTGAAACTCTAATAGGTATCTATACATATGGATAATGTCTATAATTAAATAAACGGTGTGGTGCTTAATTTGAACATTCTAGTGTTTTTAAAATAATTTTTCAAATTTTCTTTTAAGGAAAGAGCATTTTTATGAATTCCAGCTTTATTCAGGTTATTTTTATTTTCACGTCAATTACATGTAAACAAAAACACTAATTAAAATTCCTTTTGCATGTAGATCTCATATATTTTAAAGTGAAAATAATTAACAAGTTAAATATAAATAAAACTATAACTACTATAAAGTTAAATGTAATAATAAATTTAATACGCTAAGTAACATTATTTTGTTATATAGTATTTCTACTGTTGAGTTTAATAATGAAAAGACATATTTGCTTAAACTATGTCCCACTTTTTGTTATTTTGATTTTTGTGATTTTGATCATTATTGACTGTGATTTTTATTTTATAGTTAATTGACACCTTTTAACTACAAACCATTATTTTGATGGTCTAATCAATCTAATGTAATGAAACACCTGCAAAATGGATCCTAATTTTTAAAGTTAAGGCTGGGAATGATAGCAGTTAATGTCTCTTTCCTATAGCTCTCTTTTTAAAAATCCTTTTGTTTTTTCTTTTTTCATAAGAGGGAAGCTACACTCAGTAGCCCTCCTAGCCTTTCCACATACTCACATTCACTCTTCCTCCTGAGAGAAAGAATGATTTAATCTGATAAGAGTATGGAATGAGGAACTGGGCCTTTTGGCCACCCACTTCCATTACCCTTTTACATTCCCAAGGAAACATCCCTCAGGCTTCACCCCTGCCTGCCACAGGGGAGATGGCTGCTGGGGTAACGGGAGGTCTGTGCTGAACCAGAGGGTCAATGACTGAAGGGTAGCTTGTCCATTTCTGGCATGAGGCGTCAGAAAGCCCCTTGTCCGTAGACGTAAACCACATTGCATAATATTGTCTTTAATAGTAGTAAAAGTGATTTTTAAAATTTCTAGCTTCTAAACTTTTCTCTGTCTAATTCTTAATTGTTCAAGAGAATTATAGTAACCTTCAAATGCTAACAAAAAAATAACACTTTAACAACAACAAAAATCTTGCATTTGTATTTAATACAATGGATAAGCACAGTATTGTACCTATGTAATATAATATATCTTATCTCAACCTGAACTGAATACTGTGTGCTATAATGCATTTCTTCTAAATTGAACATGAACAAAAATTTTTGTTCCCTGTGCTGAATCGCTTCTCTTTTACTTTGCTCTCTTAAGAGTTGAAAGTCCTTCCCCCTTATAGCTCATCCTTATGACATATGACTTCATTTAACACATATGGATTATTTACATAAATCCTCCCCTGTTCATTTCCACCCATCTACACTATTTTATTTTATTGATATTAGTTCTCAATTTATTGAATAACCTAAGACACTAAAACCATATTCAATTAAAATGCCTTTCAATTGCGAATCACACTGAAATGAAAGGTTTTCTCTTTACAAGCAACAAATAATTCAACTTGATCACAGATTAGTTTTAGATTATCTATGAAAAATCAAACAAAAGTATAAAAAACTCCTGAAGTTTGTGTATGCCTCTTAGGAATCTATAAACCTGCGCTTATAAAATTAAATTTTAAGTAATTTACTATAAAAATGATTTTTAAACAAATATTTTGATACTTTGTTAAATTTAAGAGAGTGTTTAAGAGGTTTGAAAGTTGGAGATCATCAAAATTAGATGTATTTTGATTAGAAAGGCAATTTTACTAATTTTTAAATACTTAGTATTTTTACATATGTTTTGTTAAATACAACTAGCCAAACTAGCAATCATCAGTGAAGCTGGAACTTGAAAAAGAATATAGAAGTGGATACTTGTTAATTTTGCTGTTTAGGAACAGAGAGACCTTGCTAAAATTTTCTGTGTGTCTCATATATGTTCATTCAGCCATAATATTTGTCACACATACGCACACACAAAATTTAATTGTTACATATCACATACTGTTGTTTAATTTTTTTTTTAACTTTTGCCTTCACTTGAATTAAGGGCTTGAAAAATTAAATTACTATATATTAGGCTATTAGAGGACACTGAGGTCACTGTCCTTCAGAGTACCAGTCAACCATGACTGCTTTCAAGGAAGTAGGGAGTCGCTTGCCGTACTGTATGCTTTTCCTGGGAGAAAAAAAATAGTCATTCTTTTTTTCAAGCAATTTTCAGCAAATATTATCTTTGTTTGGTTTGGTTTGCTTTATGCTGGCCTTTGAAAATTTGCAATATTTTAAAAACTATGAAAGAAGGTTATTATGTGTAGAACACATTATTATTTTATGCTTGCATTTTTGAAAAAAGACTATCAAATGAACACAATATTTTTAAAGAAAACAACAAAGGGAAAAGGGAGAGTTTATTTTAAAACAGAAAAACACAAACAACACTTCAAATGAACCATCTGGTTAAACAATGGCTGGAAAAATGTCAGGGAAATGACAATAATACATTTGTTTCTTTTTACCTTCTCATTTTATTATTCAAAGTCAGTATTTGCATTGACTCCCTGAGATATAGATCTCTGAGCTTCCACTTTGAGAGAAGGAACCCTCAGAACACTTTACATATCCATGACGTGGTGCTAGTTCAATGATAAGAATGAAACACACCTATTCCAGCTTTCTGTTTCATAAAAGAGGACAAACCCTCTCTCTGTTGTTATCTGAACTGGACAGGTAGTCTCATTTGCTTAAAAATAACCCAGGAATAGGCAAACTAAATCCCCAAATGCCAAAAAGTAGAGAACAACAATTCATCCATTGGATTTCTGAAGATTTTTCTTAAGAGTCAATTGTTAAAACAGAGATGTCTTTTCGGGAAATAAATATCTTAATCTTCTATCATTGTGCATGCATGTGTGTTTGTGGGTATGTGTTTATTGTTACAATTCTGCATTCTATCAACAAATATTTAAATTTCTACAAAAATGATATGCAAGTCAAATCTGAAGGGGAGAGCTCCTAAAAGGAGAATATGGAAGTTTCTGTAAGTTAGGAATCTTCTTAAATCTTAATGGGGTAGTCATTAGAGGTGTGCTCCTGCTCTCCACTTTCTGCACACCTTATATGATTGCATTTCCTATGGCCCTAATTGTTGGTGAACCGTATGACTAGTTCTGGCCAAGGAATGTGAATGGAAATAGAGTGTGCCACTTTTGTACCAGAGCATAAAGGCCCTCTGTTGTCCATTTTCCCTCTGATGTGGTAATATAATGTTCCAGAAGGTGGTCATTCAGCCTTTGCTTTGAGTCTCCCAGAAAATTCTCAAAGGACATGAACCTTGAAAGAAAAATTAAATCCTTTCGTTCTAAGTCACCACTGTGTTTTTGAGTTTATTATGCAGCATAACCTAATCCAACCTGATTAATATATCTAATCACACTTCAATAATTTCATAACTTTGCTTAGGCCCTGACTTTTCTGTAAGACATGATTATTTAGTCAAACTGTATATACTTTATTTTATTTGGAAATCTGTATATAATGATGAGGCCACTTTATATTTGTACATCCTTTAACAATTTTCAAAATATCTTTACATATATTATCTCACTTATTTTATACAATAATTTCCCTAGAAAATATAAGAATATTATTACCACTGTTTAGGAATGAAGTAATCAAGGTTAAGAATGGTCGAGTAGTTTGCTATTTAGTATTAAAGCCAAGACTTAAATACTTGGATATATTATAATTTGCTATTTCTCTCCCTCCACCACTCTCCTTTTCCCGAATCATTTTAAATGTTCTGAACATCCAAAAGTTCTAAACCACGTGCAGTGAGAAAGTTAATGGGCCAGATTCTGTAACAGGAAATAATATTAACTAAAGGAGAAATGTCCTCCATTAGAATGAAATCCACGACCACTGAGGACCTTAATTACATAGCTCTTCTAAGAGAGCCAAGATCCCTACATGTGTTAAAGATACATAGACATTGATTTTGTGCAAGAGGGAACTAGTAACAAATTATGCATATAATGAATAACATTTTTATTAAAGAATTATGGAAAAATCATCAATAATGTTGGTTATGTATTAACAAAATAATAGACCTATATATTTTCTTGAAATTAGAAGTGTGGAAATCAGTCTATTGCAGTGAAATTGAAGTAGCTAGTTTTATAACTTTTATTAGGATTCGTTGGAACAACTAATATTTACACATTCTCCATATTTCTGTGAACCTTAAAGAGAATCCTTAAGAAATAGTAAATAACTTCTGAAAGCCAGTAAATATTTACTGATTAGAATGCAACTGGGGGCCAGGTGCAGTGGTTCATGGCTGTAATCCCAGAACTCTGGGAGGCTGAGGATGGCAGATCGCTTGAGCTCAGGAGTTCCAGAGCAGCCTGGGCAGCATGACAAAATCCCATCTCTACCAAAAATACAAAAAAATTATCCAGGTGTGGTGACGTGCACCTGTCGTCCAAGCTACTCGGGTAGCTGAGGTGGGAGGATTGTTTGAGCCTGGGAGGTGGAGGTTGCAGTGAGCCGAGATCATGCCACTGCACTCCAGGCTGGGCGACAGAGCAAGACCCTGTCTCAAAGAAAAAAAAGAAAAAGAATGAAGGTGGGAGGAAGGGAGCAACAGGACGAATAACAAAAGCACAATATAAATATTTATTATTAAAAAGATAAAAGAGGTAATAGCACAAACATAATGAAGGCTCTCTCAGTAGTGTGTAAATTTTGCTTAAATAAATGCCTAAGACGTGGTGTTCATAGGAGACGCTTTCCAAATTTGAAAAAAAAATAAAATTTCTATCTTTTGTCTTGAGGGGATCTGTCACATGTTTGTAGAAATACAGTGGCACTTCTGCAAGCAAACCTCCCCCACCGTCACATCTAGCCAGGTGTGAATCACAAAGCCAGCATGTGACTCCCATCACAATGGAAATAAGGAATAAATGAGGCTATTAAATGTAAAGTCTCTTAAATGAACCACGTTAACATTCTCCTCTTCAAAGACAGTCTTAGTTTTTGTAACATCCAAGCTTATTTTTATAACTCACACTTCTTTAGAATATCTCAATTTGAATATCAATATAAGATTCAAAATAATCTAGTATCTCCCTTCACCACATTTTCACAGTAAATATGAATAATGCACATGGAGCATTGAAATATTTTTGCTGCTTCATAGAATTTAGAGTATGGTCTTATACAAAAAAGTAACTTAAAAGCCTTTTTGATATAATTGTTCATATCATCAATTACTGAGGTATACACGTACACAGAGTAAGAAGCTTTTCCATATGAAGGGATTTAGAAACATGTAATACTATAAATCTATACCCTTGGAATTGAAGGAAAGTTCTAGCCCTGTGTCTGCACCTGTTTCTTTATGGGACAGAATATAAATAACTAATACTGTCAAGTTTCTGGGGGTAAAGAATAGGATTTTTCCTACATTGACACAAATAAGCTCTAAGAATATGTAGCTTTTGTATTAGCTTTTCTATTAGCCATATGTTCTGTGTCCCAGCTGTTAAGATCTCCTACAGCTGATTAATTATATTTTTTAAAAGTCAGGCAATTTACACCTGTGATACCATAGATCACTTAAGGCTAATGGACTGGAAGTCCTTGCGATATTAGGGATCCTTCAGGGTATGGGTAGGATGAGGAAGGAACATAATCTGTGCCCCATAATCTAGCACAGTTTCACTCTTTACTAATGCTTAGGGTTTAGATAAATGTCTCATTAAGAGGTAAATGTCTCATTAAGGTTATTAGGGTTATTAGGTTATTAGGGTTTAGGTAAATGTCTCATTAAGAGGAAATGCATTTGTCAGCAAGGGCTGTAGGCTCATAGGGTATGATTGCAAAAGACTTTTCTGAAAGCTTAGCTTTGGATAAATCTTCAGCTAGCCTAGGCAGAGTGCATATTCTATCCTGTGAAAACAATTGGTGAACACTGGTGAAAAAAGAGTGTATTAGCCCACAGGCCACAGAGGTGTTTAAAGAATTGAGCTTATGTACATCAATGTTCAATAGGAAGTCCAGTTTATTTCATATATAGGGTCAACAGTTAAGGAAGAAACTGGGAAAGAGGCTGTGTCATGGGACCAACAGGGAGGGTCAGTAAAAATATTGAGTAAAGAGAAAGTTTCTTTACAAGGTTTTTCTGTTTGTTTGTTTGTTTGTTTTAAAGCTAGTTGATTCAAGTAATGCAATTACCTGATTTTATAGCTCTAAGACAGTTATTTTCACTGTTTACCAAATGGATTGGGGAATTTTGAAGATAACTTAAAAGCCTGAACAAATGTTTTAGAACTTTTTCTTAGGTTTCGATACAAGAGAAGGCATTTGAAGTAACCACCAGTTTCTTCAATTTCTAAGATATCTTTTCTTCTTTTTCTCACAGTAAATGTGAGTTTTGTTTTCCCTTCCTTATAGAGTTATTAAAAGCAGTAAAAGATTATCAGTGTCCACAACTTCAGCTGTGGTCATCATTGGGAAAGCTGTCATAAACTTTACCTTAATAAAAATCAATTGCTCAATTTTCTATATC
This sequence comes from Homo sapiens, assembly GCF_000001405.40. NCBI lineage: Eukaryota > Metazoa > Chordata > Mammalia > Primates > Hominidae > Homo > Homo sapiens. The sequence goes on from NC_000004.12 coordinate 90,066,025, forward strand.
AGTGAACAAGAACACTAACCAAGAAAAATGAAATTTATGTTTAATCTATCCATTTAGATCAGATGGTATCTCAGTCATAAGGGAAGCAAAGAGCTCTGGATAAGGAATAAGGAGCTCTGGGTTTTAATTATTCTCTGCTACTTTGATACTTTTACTATAATTGGAACCCTGGAGAAACCAAGGACCAAGTCTCCTTGTCCATAAAGTTAGAGCCAAGATCATTTCTGGTTTATGAACTACAAAGTTCTTTGAACTATGAATGCTGTGAAGGCATTCTAGAGCCACCAAATGTAACCTTACTCAGCTAAGAATCAAGCTTATGTTCTAAAGCCTTTTGATTCATTTGGCAGAATATCAGTTGGACTGAATGGGAAATTACTGCATCAATTGGAAGCTTCCAGACTCTCACCATTAGTGTTCCCATTATTCATTCACTGTGTATGATAATCCTAGATCAATATCCAAATCTATGGGAGCTGGTTCTAAGAAACGCTCTCAGAGTAAATCTATTCATTTATTGATGTAACCAATTATTCAGCATGTATTCATTAATGATTATTTATATGGCACTATATTATATAGACTGTATACAAAAGAAATGCTCTAGTCTCACAGAGCTTATGTTATATTAAATGCTAGTATACCTTATAATAAGGATTTTTAGGGCCAGATATCAGAAGTCTTGGAATCATCAGGGCAGGGACCCCATTCCAAACATTACTGCCAAAGAGAAGAGAACCGCAGGCTTGACAAGGCTTGGTGGAAGGCATAGTGGCTGAAATTCACCAACAATCAAAATTGAACAATATTTCTGAAAACATATGTTCTCTGACATGACAGTGGTATGTTTATTAGGAATAATTATACCCAGGAAAAGTAATTGGAATATCATTAAATCTAGAATGATTATGTTGAGTCAAAAGAAAATAATTGGTTGTTTGAGAATTTCTGCTTTGATTTGGAGAGTAGAAACCCATAAATATACAGTATTATATTAGTTGGTTCTTTGCAAGAATCCTATGCCTGGATAGCATTAGGAGATATACGTAATGCTAAATGATGAGTTAATGGGTGCAGCACACCAGCAAGGCACATGTATACATATGTAACTAACCTGCACATTGTGCACATGTACCCTAAAACTTAAAGTATAATAATAATAAAAAAAAGACAGTGACATGGGAAAATGTAAAGACTTTTAACAGCAAACCTATAAAATAGGTCTCTGGCCCCTAAAAAAAAAAAAAGAATCCTATGCCTTTTGTTTGGCCCCTTTGTTTTTGCTTTCTCCAGCCATTTTTTCCAAGCATTCTTTTATCATTTTCTTAGACTCTGATGCCTAGAATATCCAGTACCAGAGATAAAGTTCTGGTTAATACATTCACAATAAGATGTAAAGGGATTGGTTAAACTACATTTAAAGGTGAATGTGAATTTTAAGAAATAAATGGAGAAAGATAATACATAACATAAAAGAATATCCCATTAATAGTAGACTCTCAGGAATCCAAGGAATAGCTGTTTAAGGGAGGAAAAAAATATATATAGGAGTTCCTAATTTGTTTATTAATAAGGACATCTCATTGTTAATTGTTTCCTTAATTCATGCCACAAACTTTTTTTAACTTCTAAATTCAGGGGTACAAGTGCAGGTTTGTTACACAGGTAAACTTTTGTCATGGGGATTTTTTGTACAGATTATTTCATTACCCAGGTATTAAGCCTAGGACCCATTAGTTATTTTTCCTGATCCTCTCCCTTTGCCCACCCCTCACCCTCTGAAATACCCTAGTGTGTGTTGTTCCCCTCTCTGTGTCCTTGTGTTCTCATCATTTAGCTTCCACTTATAAGTGAAAACATGCAGCATTTGGTTTTCTGTTCCTATGTTAGTTTGCTAAGGATAATGGTCTCAAGTTCCATCCATGTCCCTGCAAAGGACATGATCTCATTCTTTTTTATGGCTTCATAGTACTCCACAGTGTATATGTGCCACATTTTCTTTATCTAGTCTACATTGATGAGCATTTGGGTTGATTCCATGTCTTTGTTATTCTGAATAGTGCTGCAATGAACATACACATGGATGTGTCTTTATAGTAGAAATATTTATATTCCTTTGGGTACATAACGAGTGATGTGATTGTTGGTTCCAATGGTATTTCATTGGTCTTTGAGGAATTGCCACACTGTCTTCCACAATGGCTGGACTAATTTACACTCCCACCAACAATATATAATGTTCTTTTTTCTCTACAACCTTGTCAGCATCTGTTATTTTTTGACTTCTTCATAATGGCCATTGTCACTCGTGTTAGACAGTATCTTACTGAGGTTTTGATTTGCATTTCTCTAATTATCAGTGATATTGAGCTTTTTTCATATGATTGTTGGCTGCATGTATGTCTTCTTTTGAAAAGTGTCGGTTCATGTCCTTTGCCCACTTTTTAAGGGAGTTGTTTTTTTCTTGTAAATTTGTTTAAGTTCTGTATAGATGCTGGATATTAGACCTTTGTCAGATGTATAGTTTGCAAAAATTTTCTCCCATTCTGTAGGTTGTCTGTTCACTCAATTAATAGTTTCTTCTGCTGTGCAGAAGTTCTTTAGTTTAATTAGATTCCATTTGTCAATTTTTGCTTTTTTTTGCAGTTATTTCTGGCGTGGCACCACGCCTGGCTAATTTTGTATTTTTAGTAGAGTCGGGGTTTCTCCATGTTGGTCAGGCTGGTCTCGGACTCCTGACCTCAGGTGATCCACTTGCCTCGGCCTCCCAAAATGCTAGGATTACAGGTGTGAGCCACCATGCCCGGCGACCTGATTGTTTTATAAAGAGGAGTTCCCCTGCACAAGCTCTCTCTCTTAGCCTGCTGCCATCCACCTAAGATGTAACTTTCTCCTCCTTGCCTTCCGCCATGATTGTGAAGCCTCCCCAGCCATGTGGAACTGTAAGTCCACTAAGCCTCTTTCTTTTGTAAATTGCCCAGTCTCCGGTACGTCTTTATCAGCAGGGTGAAAATGAACTAATACAGTATGGGTCTAAAAATTGTCCACCTGTCATTTGTTTATTCATTTAGAATCTAAACCTAACCTTGATAGGGTGGTTTCAATGCAATCTTCTTGAAATAAATCACAGAAACTGTAGATCGCTGAGACCCAAGTAGCTAGAAACTTACCATCTTTTAGAGTTTTAGGATGAGGGGAAGTGAATCATATTACATAATATGTAATATGACTTACATTCTCCCAATTATAGGTATAACTCTTCCTCCTGGGAAGTAATTTAGAATCTAGAACTGGGAGAAGAGGAACACAAAGTTCTCTTTGTCTGCCTTTTACCAATTCATTCCACCTTAGGGTTGACTCACAGGATTCTTGTAATCTAGCAGATATGAGCTCAGCAGGCACATTGCCAGAGAAAGAAGTACTAAGTAGATAGTTTTCTTATTTATTGTTGGAAGGACAAGAATTGATTTTTCTATGCCAAGTATTGGAAGTGATGTTGGTAATGTGCACCTTCTCTGCCATCCTCCCCTTGCAATAATCCCGATTTGTTCAAATAGTCAGGAAAATAAAGCTGTAATTTAGATCTAGAAGTTTAGAGAATGCCAGACAATTGTAATCTACCAAAATATCTGTTACTTCCAGATAAAAGCCTTTTTCTTTTGAGAAATGAATGAAATAATTTGGGATCCTGTGTCTTTATTACAATGATTATAATATATTTGAAAAAGATCTTGAGACTAAGACAATTTTGTCAAGAACAAGGAATAGAAATAAGGCACCAGAATTGGTACTTAGAGCTATAAGAATCTTTTTTTAGGTTTTTGAAAACGAAAACTTTTTTTAATGCTTAGAGACATTTATCAGCTTGAGTTATAACCATTTTGTTTATAATTAGTAAGAACTAACATCGATGCAGTATTTACTTTGTGTCAAGAAACATTAGCTTCATTTAATCCTCATAACAACTCTATGAAGCAATTATTATTTTCACTACCTCTAATTTTTGAAATGAAGAAATAGAGAGAGTTTAAATAACCTGTCAAAGTTCATAGAGTTAAAACATGCTGAAGGTAGGATAAAAATCTCTATCAGATACCGACACCTCCCACAACTTTCTACCAACCTGCCTCCTACCAATCTGCCTTCCAGGGGTTGATATACAATTTTTAACATCATATTACATGTTTATTTATTCTACATTTATGTTGGCATTTGCAAATAAGAAAAATTTCTGCTAATTGGTATTACTGTTAGGATAATAGGGGTTATGGTGAGATACTCACAACATAATTATAAATAAGATTGCCCTAAGGGAGTTCAATTTATCAAATCCAAATTAAACGACTACATCAGCCATCTGCATTAGAAAATCAAGATATTGTTCATAAAAGTGTAAGTTAATGTTAAGGAAACAAGAGATCTGAGAATCATTTTAGAAACAATACTGTTTGTGTGTCTAATCTACTACATAGAGATGTAATTGGTTTATCCTATTTGAAGAAAAATTGTGGGAAGAGAGTACGGGTGCTGAGCCATGGAAGCATAAGGAAAGGAAAGACTCAGAAACACAAGTTGGTAGAGCATCCACTCGCTGCCCCGGGTGGACTGAATCTCTGCTAAGCTGCCTCAAGTGGGAAGGTTTCTTTGGGTAGTGTATCGGTCTTGTATGTGAAAACAACTCAAGCTACCTTAGCTAAAAGTCGCTTAGGATAAACCAACTTGTTCTGATACCAAGTTCACTGTTGTGGTTGGCCATTTTAAGTATTCTGGTCAGCTTGATGCCTGCAAATTAATGAACTGAGGTTCTGTTTCACACACCAACCACTATATGCTAGTTCATATAGGTCTATTTCTACAAATTAGATGTTCTCTCTTATTCTGCAGATCACACCCTGTGTATGGTAAGTCCACTGGGGCAAAGGCCACATTACACCTCTTTCATCTGATTTTTCACAGTTTTTAAGGACTTCTACAATTTGTAAGTGTCTTGATAGCTATGCTATGGTACAAAGAAACCATTTGGTAGAAGTTGCTTGCTAACACATTTTGGTCACTTAAGCCTGACCTAAGTCACCTATTCATTTGTTCTAAAACTTTTTCTCTTAACATCCTCTAATCTTACCTACCTGGGGTAGATAGTAATTAGGAAAAAAAATTATATACAATTTTGATTCATATATATTTCTAACTAGGATGCATGTACAGAGCAATGCAGAACTGAATTCAGTGAATTTGTGATTTTTCAAACTCACTTTATAATCCTATTAGTATTAATTATTATAACTCTTTAATATAGCATGGAGAAAATAAGTTTTGTAATCACTATCTTTGGGTGATATGAAAACTCTAGGTATTGGGAGAAGCAGGACTCTGCTGATACTACTTGTGCTTCTCCACGCTGGCATTTACCTTTCTTGTAAACACTAGCAATCTCTGTAGAGGAAGCTAAGCCAAGGCTATGCACATTGAAACCTAAAAGATGGAGACTGGTAGCAGAGCTCTTCTTTGAGCACTGCTCCGTGTATTGTAACTTTACTCTTCTGGTATGTGGTTGTCTCCTGCTGGCCTCCGCCATCCTCCCTTTCTCCATCCACTCTCCTCTCCCATATGAACTGCAGATGGAGAAGGCATGGCTGACTGATGCTCTGCTGTCATTAGTTCGTGTATGCCAGATTCAAAGGGACCTTTAGTTTTACCCTGCTAACAATATGCTTAATTTAAACACTACTGTGACTGGTTGTAGCCTACTGCTTCATATCCCATTCCCCATAACCCTATTCTCTATTTGTTGCTCACTGTTCAGTCAGGCAATTCAACATAAGTGTGTGTTCCTACAGCTGCCTAATATGTTTTGCTATTCCACAGTAAATTAGCCGCAACTATCCATTGGTAGCTATTGACTTTTACTGAAGTGAAAAATAATGCATGCATATCTACATGCAAAAATGTATCCTCGTGAAACCTCTGAGGGAAATAAAAAGAGGAAGAGACACGAACGTAGTTCCAGAAGTGGCACTTGCTAAAGAAGCAGAAGTGTCAGCTCTGCAAAAAAAAAAAAAAAATACGTGGGTAGAAAGAAGATGGCTTATTTCAGGATTCTTAAAGCCATGGAATCCTCAATTAGTTTGGCGACGTGCTGATCAGTAAAGAAAATGACTAGAAATGCACTTGAGTTGGACTAAAATAGATTGCCTGAGAGAATCTGGAAGTCAAGAATTTTCCTGCTAGGTAACACATTACAATGTCCCCTATACTTTCTTTGTCTGGTTTGTTAGAATCATTTGTAATCAGTAGTTCTGTTTTTTTTTTTAAGATGTCATTTGGCAAGTTACAAGTATCAGTCAAACCAAAGGCACATAGAAAAATGTTTATCAAAAGAAAAATCATTTTTGCATTTTCCTATTGGACATCAAAATACAATTACTAGAACACATTGAAGAACACTTGTATCAGGAAATATGTCCACCTTTTAAAAAATGTAGGTATGTTATTTGATGTTTCATTGCATTGGCTTTTATTTTCATGTTTTTGTCACTATGCCTGACTTGTCTTGCATGTTTTGAGAAACCAGGTGACAACCAAACAATAAAGAAGTGAAAAAGTTTGAAAGATAATCTAGACATATTTTAACTCTCGAGTGATTCTTTAAAAGCAAAAACAAAGAAAAACAAAGAAATGCTAGGCTTATATAAGTTTTAAATGTCGGCTGGGCGCGGTGGCTCACGCCTGTAATCCCAACACTTTGGGAGGCCAAGGCAGGTGGGTCAGGAGGTCAGGAGTTCGAGACCAGCCTGGCCAGCATGGTGAAACCCCGTCTCTACTAAAAATACAAAAAATTACCTGGGCGTGGTAGTGCATGCCTGTAGTCCCAGCTACTCGGGAGGCTGAGGCAGGAGAATTGCTTGAACCCAGCAGGTGGAGATTGCAGTGAGCTAAGATCATGCCACTGCACTCCAGCCTGGGTGACAGAGTGAGACTCCATCTCAAAAAAAAAAAAATTTTTTTTTTAAATATATTTTTTATCATTTTATTTTAATATCCTAAACTAGCAGGTTTTATTATTTCATTGTGCATATGAAAAAACTAGACAAGAAAATAGAGTGGCTTGGCCACTGCCAATAAGGCTAACTCTGTTTATGAGCAGATACAACCCCAAAGAAAAAAAACAAATTCCTTACAATATACTAAGTCTTTTGTCTCCTTTTCTTTTCTTTGGATATAGAAAACCTGCAATTCTGGCAGCTGATCATAAAAGTGAAGGAGATAAGTTAATATAAAATGTTTTCTCAGTAAATAGAACTGTGTGCTCACATCGCTAAAGATGAGGCTTTTCACAAAGAATGAAAGGTCTAAGTCTCTTAATGCCATCCGGAGGTTCAGATTAATTACCCTTTCAGTTAAGGTCACTGACAGTGTAAAGAATTTTCAGACCCCCTAGAGCCAAGTGTTATCTTTCTCATACAGCAGCCATGGATGCTTAAGTAAATCAATACATGGCAATTAGCAGGTAATAGGCATGATTTTTAAGTAGAAATAAGATATGATGATCTTGCTATAGTACACATATGGCTAGCCATGAGTGAACAACTGCTGCTATCTTGCTGTTGTAATAAAATATCCATTTCAATATAGAGAGCAAAAGGGCCATCAGAAATGAAAGAAATCAGTATATAAAATATTCAAATTTTTTGTTTTTAAAAAATTATTTAAGGGAGATTTTATATATTCTTGGAACAACAAGCTTCTAGATAGGAGTGATTTTATAATGTTGTATTTTGTATAATAGGCTTTTTTAAGAGAAGTTTTAAGTTTACAGAAAATACAGTTCCCATATACCCTCCTCCCTACCTACACGTACACAGTTTCCCTATTATTAACATCCTGCATGAGTGTAGTACACTTGATACATTTGATGAATTACTACTGATACATTATTGTTAACTAAAGTCCGTAGTTTCCATTAAGGTTCACTCTGTGTTGTATAGTTCTATGGGTTCTCACAAATACATAATGCCATGAATCTGCCATTACACTGTCATACAGAATATGTTCACTACCCTAAAAATCCCTTGTGCTTCACCTTGTACCTCTAGATAAGAGTGATTCTATAATATTGCATTTTTATGTGTAAAACTCTAATGTGATTGTAGTTTGAGCATAAAATTCTATTTTATGGGTATTTCAAGATTGATTTAGGAGCTAGAATAGCATGATTCTTCTTAGAACACCTTTAGTATTCTTTCATTGTACATTATTTCTATTAATTTTTGTGGGTACCACTGTAATAAAGTAAGAATTTAAAGCCTTGTTTTTAACTCAAAAAATTTGCATTTTAATTTAAATTGATAAATGAGTGAAAAATAATACACAGCATTAGATGACAGGCTAGCAGGCAGTAGGATTAAGTGCTGAATGAGTGACACCAATAAAATTGGGGAGGTGTTCAGTGGAGTGATCATACACAAGGGCAGAGGTTAAGACAGAAGCTAAGTGGATTAGGAGGGGCTTGAGAGGAGTGTGATATGGATAGGCTGAGAGAAGGGAGAGCATTCGGGCAGGTGAAAGGGCTGGCCAAAAGCTCTAGAAAGAGGAATGTCTATGCTGTGTCTCTATGCTGCTCTTGGAGCACAGGCAGTTTGTGAGGCTATGTTTGGTCCCATTTGCTAAAAGCCTTTGCCCACATTCCTCACTGGGAACATGCTAATTTCCTGGTGGCACTGCAGGTAAGCAAGACTCACGTGCTCTGTTCCCAAGATTCGCAGTCTTTGCCTTCTCAGCTCTCCTTACCTCAGCCCTGGAAAATGTCTTCCTAGTTTAGACACAATCTTTTCACTTCATATTACTCTGCTTAGGGATTCTAATATAGACTTATGTTTTCCGGGGGCAAAATTGACAAAAAGGGAAGTAAATATCATTTTTTTGGTTTTGTTTTCTAGTCTGTTTCAAATGCCTTTTAAGGCAAAGAAATGCAGGGGTCTCCATGTTTTGTGTGGATGAGAGCAGAGGGAAGAAACGGATAATACAGGAAGAAAATGAAAACAACTTAGATTAAAATCTCAAAAATATCATTTTATCACAGAAATGACTGGACTAAAATATCCCAAGCTTGTCTCAAAATTAATTTTGGAACCAAAGATGTCTGATGTTACCAAGATAACATCTTGTCACAGTCTTTTAGGGAAGTAAAGAGCAATTTCTAATGACAGGGGATGAAAGACTGAAGAATGAATGAATTATATTTGCTGTTACTAATGATTTGCCTTTATTAGTAACCTTCAACCATGAGGTAGCAGAAGAGGCAATAGGGCAGGTTTAATAAAGAGGTCCCAGCACTGGCAAGGGGGTTCAGTGCAATTCACCCAGTAAGACTTGCTAAGGAGACAAACTGGACTTTAGAGGGAAGTCTGGAGCAATTAGAACAAGAAAGTAAGTCTTTTAAGTCATAGAAGGAAATTACATCAGAGTAAAAATAAGTATCCTAACTCCAGTAGGCAATTTGTAACACGTAGAACTTTAAGAAGTTGGAAAAATAAACATAAAAAGGCCATGTGCAGTGGCTCACGCCTGTAATCCCAGCACTTTGGAAGGCTGAGGCTGGTGGATCACCTGAGGTCAGGAGTTCGAGCCCAGCCTGGCCAACAGGGCGAAACCCCGTCTCTACTAAAAATACAAAAATTCGCTGGGTGTGGTAGCAGGTGCCTATAATCCAAGCTACTCGGGAGGCTAAGACACAAGAATCACTTGAACCCAGGAGGCAGAGGTTGCAGTGAGCCAAGATTGCGCCACTGCACTCCAGCCTGGGCGATAGAGCGAGACTCAGTCTCAAAAATAATAGTAATAATAACAACATAAGGAGACAGTAAAAAGTCTGTGTTGTGATTCCCAGGACACAAGCTACTTATGCTTTGCCCCTTTATAAAAATATACTCTACCTAACTGAGTGAGGAAAAGACTGCTCTGGAGGCTGGCATTCATCATGCTGGGACCGAGAGCTTGGATGTGTTAGGGGTGAAGCTGGGGTGAAGTAGCAGAGATTAGGGAGAGACTACTACACTTGCACTATGTTATTCTGAATCAGAGAGGAAACACTCGGAGTTATTTAATGGTTTCATTTACACTAAAACACGTAGTCTTCAGTATCTAGAATATTGCCTGAAACACAGTGGCTGTGTAGTAAGTGGTAATTAAACCCAAGAAATTATGTGGGTATAGCTAATGTAGGAGTCACAACTCATTAATAGCTCTTTTTTTCAAATGGACTAAAACAACATACATTTACTATTTTACAGTTTCTGAGGGTCAGGATTCCAGGCATGGCTTAGCCTGGACTCATTCAATGACCAACAAGGTATCTTCAGGCTGCATTCCTTTCCTAGGTTCAGAGTTCTCTTTCAGGCTCACATGGCTGTTGGTAGAATTCAGCTCCTTGCAGTTGTAGGACTGAGGTCCCCATTTCCATGCTGTCATCAGTAAGGGACCCTACTTGCCTCCCAGAGGCTCCTGCAGGCACTGTCACAAGAGGGTAGCTTATTTTCTGGAGGTCTTTAGGAGGGTCTAATTGAAGGCTTTCATCTGATTAAGTCAAGCCCACCCAGGATAATCTCCTTACTTTTTGATGAACTCAAAATCAACTGATTTAGGAGCTTACTTACATCTGAAAGGATCCTTCACCTTTGCCATATTCTTGTCATGACATTTTAAAATTCAGCCTGGACCAAGGAAAACCCAATTGTCCAAAGTTCTCTTGTGTTAGCTTGTGGAGAACATTGCAATATTATTATCATTCCTAAATTTCTTTGTATCTAAATTGAAATATCACAGACATAAAACATTTGTGAATTTTAACCACATGATCAGGTATCATAGAATCATTAATTCATAGAACGTTAGAGAATAAATATAAAAACATTAGTCCTATTTCATTCACCTACAACTTGTTCTCTGTTAGCGAATGTACAAATAATTCATTTTCAGAAACGTAAGCATTCAGTATTAAATGGAAATATTTACAAAATGTTAGACTAGAGATTAATTGGGATTTACTGACATTATCATAGAAACTCAAAATTCGGTCAAACAAAAATTTTAGTCATATCCCAAACGCTTTTATCAGATTTTCACAGAGTATGGTGAATATCATCATTCACGCCATAGACACTGCCATTTTTCAACAAATACTACTTGAATGAACATTTTGATCTGTGAAAATGCAAGGTTAGCTCTTTCCTTGGTTTTATTTTCATTTTTTCAAAGTATTTATATATTATGTAGAATACATTTTCTGGAAATACTTTTAAACAATTCTTGAGGTAGGGTACTTTGTTTTCCTGTGGGATGAAGGAGGTGATTTATAGTAGTTATAAGTCTGTCCCTTTAAATTTTTATATTCTCAACCTGCAAAGAATGAAATCTCAGCAAATAAAAGTATGTCAGTGGGAAAACTCACAGTGATTGTTCTCTGCTGGAAGGATTAAGTAAATGTAGAGTTTCAAGCAGGCTTAGGCAGTGAACTGTAAAAGACTAAGGGAATGTGAAGGTAAAAATCTATCTTCCCTCACCAACTGATCATGTTGCCAGTACCATACTCTGGAAGTAGCAATGAGGTTACCTTTCCTTTCCTTTTCTCTGCCTCTCCAGCAGCTGAGAGTTGAACCCTCAGTACCAACACCTGCTGACAAATCAGGGCACTGCTTATGGTTAGTAACAGGATAAGGCATGTAACCTAAGAGTCTGGCCACTGCCTTTTAGCTCTTTCAAAACGAGGTTCCTTATGACTTGCAATACTTGCCTTCCAAGTTTCTTATTGAGGGTCTAATGAAAGAATATTTACAGAAGAGTTTTGTAAACACCATATAAATATTAGTATGTATGATATTCCCTCAGGAAGTACATATATATATATAAATACACACACTGTATATACACTGTAAGAATCTAAATTAGTTATTTCTTTTTATAGCAAAATCATTTTAAAAACTGTTGTCTAGTAATAATTCTGTGAACTTGTGTACTGCTTTTACTCTTGTGTACTACTCTGATGTACTTTTTATAATAAAATAACATAAAAATTTGTCTCTACCACTCCAGAAACTGAACTAAGATTCTTAATAGGTTAATGCCTCATTCATTTCTCAAAACAATCATGAGACATAGGTATTGTTATTTTAATTAACAAATGAGAAAACTAAATGCTAGGGGCTGTCATTGAATTTAAAAACAAAAATCTTCTTGATTCAGACATAAGAGGAGAAACACCAAATTAGGAACACACACCTTTGGATTTACGATAGTTAAAATCATAAGCTGGTGGCTGAGATATATATAATAATTTAATTGATTGACAGACATTATTATTCTCATCGGTAGAATGAGGAAATTGAAGATGGGGGCGGTTAGTAATTTGACCAAGCTGAAGATGAGAACCAAGACTTGAATTCAGATAGGCTTGAGCTAAAACTTTTGATATTTCCATTTATTTATTTATTCAGAAATATTTCCAGAGTACCTTCTAAGTTATAGAATTACTGGGCAAATTGCCATAGCTACTTCTGTCATGGAGTTTCAAGTTGACAGATAAATAAGAGTTAATCTACCTACCAAATAAGGAAATGGAACTGACTCATAATTCAAGTATCAGCAAAATCTCTCCCTAGAGGAGATCCTTCCCCTCAATAGTCATTACCACTCTATCCTATTATAGTTTCATCATAGCACTTATTTGTTTGTTGAGTTGCTTTTTGGTTTATTTTTTGCATGTGTTCCACTAGGACAGAAGCCCCTAAGATCAAGGATCTTATCTAATTGACTATTGCTCCCCAGTGCCTGGAATCATGCCTACTTATCCCATCATTTAATTATTCATTAAATGTTTGTTAAAAGAAGTGAAAGAAGGACTCCTGAGAAGTACAGAGTACTAGGAGAAAGTATTTTACCTGATATGAGAAATCACAGATATTTGAGGGAGTAAGATTTGTACTGCAAATCTGAAGAATGAATGAGGTTCTAAAGGAGTATGTGTGTGGACACATGTGCACCTATATGTTGGGAAAGGGGGCAGCAACAAGCTTCAGGTAGAAGAGGAAGTGTGTGCCAAGGCCTGTGGTCGGGCAGAGCATGCCAAATAGGAAAAAAGGAGAAAAGACCAGCCCAAAGAGCCAGCGCAGTTCAGTGCAACACTTGGCGGAGAAGCAGGCCAGGCTAGAGGCTTGTAGGAAATTCGACTTTATCTGAAAAGTAATGAGGAACCATTGAAATATTTTAATCAGGAAAGAAGTTTGAGTTTTGATGTTTGAGTTTTCAGCAAGACATATTTTCAATGTGAAGAGAAGAGAGAAATGGGTCAACCGGATAGAGACATCCCACTTTGGAGTCTCTGCAACAGTCCAGAAATGAAGCCAAAGGAACTTTGCTAACCTTTGATTATGGTGATAAGAAAAGTTGTTGAAATCACGAGCTCTTTAGAAGGTAAAACTACTCAGAGTCTATAATAGAGGTGGAACAAAGAGCAGAGGAAATAGGGGTGGAAGGGATGACTATTAGGTTTCTGGCCTGTGCAATAGAATGGGCGGTGGTACCATCTCTGATGGGGAACATGGCAGAGCAGGTATGGAGGGACATGCATGCCTGCCTTTCCTGTATATGTGATATCTCATTGATACTGAAAGGTTCCGTAGAGTACAGATTTTATTTATGTGTACCAAAGCCTGAGAATTTTCAGAAAGGATAAGGGCATAGCCTAACAACAGAGCTGAGGTACCCTGATTTCAATACTCTGCATGTGAACCATAATATTGTTTAAATAATTATTATATTTCAAACTAGTAAAAGATTACATCCGTATGACCACAAATCTTGAAGTAATTTTTGAGCATTTTTACATTATTAAATTCCTATATGGATCTCAATTTCTAGATTGTGTTTACAACTATATTAATTCTAAAGATAAAAAGATATATGCCTTCACAAGGTTTTCTTTTCATTTTAGAATCAAGCATATTCTGAAAAGTATAATTAACTATTTTCATTTTAATACATCTATCTGAACATTTCCAGGAATTTCAAAGAATAAAGGAAAACTAGAAATAGGTAAATATTGGAATAAGAACATCCGGTACCTAAAATGTGAAAGAAGAATGGGATCTCATTATACAATATAAAAAGGATTACAAAACCCACAGCACAAAGGAGGTCTGTTTCTTTTCTTTTGATGTGTCTGTGTAGTGAAACTGCAATTAGTGGTAATAGGAGTTGCATGTGTAACTCAAAGGAGCTTGATGCAAGATTGCAGCAGGGTACAAAATGGTACAAGCAAAATCTCATTCTCATTACCAACATATAATTTTATTGTCTCGTTTAGATAACATAATTTTTCTGTTATCAGAATTGTCCAACCCATTACATCACAAATGCAATTATAAATTCATTATAAATCACCTAAGCTGATAAAAAATCAAATGTAGCAAATTAATATGAAGTCAAGGAGAGAGAAAGTAAATGGTGGTCAAGTTGTATATGAAATTTACCTTTGTGGTTACAAAGAAGACATGCTTACACTTAAATACTCTGTTCTGATACAGAAACATCTTTTTTAAAATTGGGTTTTTGTTTTAAAATGCTGTTTTTTCTTGGGCAACAGACAATCCCTTCAATTTTGCAATCTGGCATTCCCTTCTTCCTATAATTTCTGCAGTGTTTTTCTAGAAATATCCTGCTTTGGACACTGTTGGTTTTGTTTCTTTCTGTATAGAACTTGCTTGTAAGTTAACATCCATTACACACATCAAACATGTGTAACCATTTAATTGGTATGGATATCATACGTGTATATAACACAAGTCTAAAAAACCAGATGGTCTTCTATGTTGAGTATTAACATATACATCATATCACAGTACACAAAAAAGGCTTTTTACTTAGCAAATTTGTTACATATATCATAGTATTTACGCTATTTATCTTCCTTAAAATGTATTTGACTAATTTTTAAGTTAAATTAATTGATTCAGGCAGTTTCCATTCTCTTCTGCATTTTAATGCATATTCTTCTGTCACAGAAAAAAATACATTTTCACCCTCTAAAGGATTTTTATGTTCATTATATAATACATAATAAACCTATATTAATAATTTTGCCGAGAATATCATGGTGAAATATACATTAGCTTGAACATTGCATCTCTTTTTTTCCCCTCTAATTTATTTAAGTTACTTGCTTAAATATAGAAAATGGTGTCACAGATTTACTCACACTACATTTAAATCTAAAGCAAAAATATAGTCTGCTTATTTTTGTCTACTACCAGTCTGAACTTGAAACCTGAACTTTCTGTGTTGTTGCAGCAGGGGTGGGCCGGGTTGGGGGCGGGGAGATTGCCCAAATTCATTTTAAACATAATTTGAGCAAACACGTAATAGTGTTTAATGCAGGGTTTAATCTCTTTAGATAACAATTCTCTGACTTTCAGACTAAACTAACCTTCTCTCCTTTCTAAGATAGCACTTAACTTAAAAAGAAAAGTCACCCTAGGATCTGCCATGGGTTTTGGGACCTACTCTGCTCTGCCCCTGCTGACCTGATGGTTGTGTAACCCGGTCTGGAAGTCCTTGGGCTTTGATCGCGATTGCTTCCCATCCTCTTTTGAGACTTCATTTTGAAAGAGAAGCCAGCTAAAATTCTTGCCTTTTTGCTGGGTGGGGAGACGGAGTGTGGAAAGAGTAGGTCCTGAAGGTAGAAAATGCCTAATGACTGAGAGATACAATAGATGGAAACTCCACCAAAACTTTCTCTGCTGAATCCCTGTAAGTCCACATCCATTTGCACCTGGCTTTTTTCTTGCCTGTTAACACAATGCAGCAGTGGTCTGCTAACTTTAGTATAGGTGAGAATCACCTGGAAGGCTTGTTAAACCTTAGATTGCTGGGTCCTACCGGAGAATTTCTGGTTTAGCAAGTCTTGAATGGAGCTTGATAATTTGCAAAGCTAATAATTCTCAAGTGAGGCTGAACCGCTGGTGCGGTAACCTTTCATTTAGAAGCGCTGCAGTGAAGCAGTATAACTTTGTACCAAAGATTTGCTACATTTCATTCTTTTCTGTCTTCTTAAAGATCTTGCTTCATTAACTTTTCCTTCTGTTTCTCTATTCTTCAGTCTCTTTCTCTCTAGGGAATCCTTTGAATCAGGATACAGGCATGGCCTACTCTACTTTTACAAAAGCAAAACACAATAAAATTCATACACAACTACAAATAGCTTTCTTGGATCCAAGCTGCATCTCTAGCTACCATATAATCTCTACAAAGCCATGCTTCTTGGAGGAGATTTTTACTCATGCTTTAGCTATTTCATTACCTATTCTTTGTTCTAGCTTTCTGCAATTCAGGTTTTGCTTTTACTACTTCTACCACTACACCATAACTCCTGGTCTGGTTAATGTAAAAAACCTTATGCTTTTATGGCATTATTTTAGTTTTTCTTAGCTAGGACCAAATTACAACTTATGAGAAAATGAAAATTTGAGGGAATTTTAATAACTTGTGGATTCAGGTTCATAGTAGTTCTGCCAGTTATAAGTTGGGTAATTACAGGCAAAGTTTGAATCCCTCTGAGGCTCAGTATTTGCAAATGTTAATGGTATCTGTCTTGTAAGGTTATTTTGAGGATAGGCTATGTATATCTTGCAAGATTAGTTCTAGGCTATTGTGCATATAATGCATAGAATAGTGTTTGCAATGTAAACAGTAGATAATAGTAGTAGAAATAAAGTAATTTTGAAATTTAAAACAGAAAAATGAGATTATTTTGAGTCTGTGTTTTGTCACCATCAGAATACAAGTGGGTGCTAGTATCAATTTTCTAGGTGGAGTGCTTCAATTATACATAAATTCTAATGCTCCAAAAGAATGATCTCCATGAATTAAATGATTTGTTGAAAAGGTACCTTATCATCCAACATCTTACAGACAGGCTTTGCTGGCTCTTGAAAGACTAGATATGGGCCAAGTGCCGTGGCTCACGCCTGTAATCCCAGCACTTTGGGAGGCAGAGGCAGTCGGATCACCTGAGGTCAGGAGTTCGAGACCAGCCTGGCCAACATGGTGAAACCCCATCTCTATTAAAAATACAAAAATTAGCCTTGCGTAGTAGTGCCTATAGTCCCAGCTACTTAGGAGGCTGAGGCGGGAGAATCCCTTGAACCCAGGAGGCGGAGATTGCAGTGAGCTGAGATTGCACCACTGCGAGCCAGCCTGGGCAACAAGAGTGAAACTCCATCTCAAAAAAAAAAAAAAAAGGAAAGAAAGGCTAGATATGTAGAACTATCTAATTAACCAAGAGTTGCTTAAAGGGATATACTGGGGCTAAACATATTTCTCCCTATAATCCCTTGCTAACCACAGCCCTAAAGTCTTCTGATGATTAACATCAGGCCTCCTTTGCTGAACTGGTGAGCCTGACAGAGAACTGGCTTATGTTGGACAGTTCTGGCCACATGCTCACTTAAAGACCCATGGTCAGGCACTCCATCTTCACCAGAACCCTAAAACACACCCAGAGCTGTTTTTCAAAAGGTGAAGCATTTTCCTCTGCAGACAGCTTCAGAATCATAGAGGACTATGTTGATGACCTTATTGGGCTTGTCATGAACCTTACACATCATCTTTTCTCACCGAAGATACCTCTAATATCACAGGGTCTACTGGGTCATGTGTCCTAAGTGGCCAAGGTCCTTGCCCTCTCTAGCCTGGATCTGCTGCTGGATTCTTCTCATGCTCCATGCTCTAATCATAGTTGACAGCTTTTCATGCCACCCAGTACAGAGGCCAGAGTAATATTCCTGGGTTTTGGCATATGCTGCCTGCAAAACCTAAGGGATCTTATCAGGTGATGTGCTTTCTTCTTTGTAGTGGGAGACGTGAGGTGCAAAAATTTTTCTTTTTCTTTGGTGTTGGCCCAGCATTCCTTAAACCACATGACCTTTAAAAATGTTAGGGATGTGGCAGGCCCCTGAAAATATTTTTGGTTTATTCCCTACCCTTTGGAGCACATCTGTCTTACTAGAGCCTCCAATATACTTGTCATTTCTTATTTATTTGGTTCGATTAGCATGATGTCAGCAGTGTAACGTGCCAGCAGGATGTTCTTCAGGATGTGCGGCCAGTCCAGATTTCTTTGATAGAGAGAGAAAAACTGTTAACCTAGTGCTGGGCAAGACTGCAAATGTATGCTATCGTCACTTCCAAGGAAATGTTAATTGTTTCTGTTCTTCTTTTCTGAAGAGTTAAAAGCACACACACATTTTTCAGATCAAAGGCCTCATACCATGAACCTGAGGATGTGTTTATCTGTGCTCGCAGAAACAGCCCATCTAGAACAGCAAAGGCAAGTAGGCAATGGGGGCTATAATTTGACTGAGTCAGTAGCTGATTGTTGTCATCCAGAAGCCACCTGCTTTTGTAGGGGTTCCTGGATGATGACAGGAAATGTTATTTACATAGACATAGGGCAGAGACTACCAGCACTGCCTCCTTTAGGACAATAATTTCTGCCATTCCTTAAGCAATACAATGTTGTTTTTGATGTGCAGTCTTGACGGGGAGAACACTTTAGAGGTTCTGCTTAACTTAAACAGAGTTCAGTGCTAATGTGCCCACTCCCTAAGAATATACTTGAAATGGGACCATTAGCACTGAACAGGGTACATGAACAGAGTAGACCACTGTAAGCTAGACCGTGGCCAAGTGGGACCATTAGCACTGAACAGGATTCATGAACAGAGTGGACCATTGTAAGCCAGACTTTGGCCAAGACTTCATTTGATACTTGACCCTATATTTGCCCTCCTGCAACAGAGGGCTCTTGATGGCACTTTAGTTCCCTAGAGTTCAATGTCAACAAGGACATTGTGTCCAGTGACCTAGAAATGTTTAGGTATTCTCTTTTCTTCAATGAATAGTTACTCTGAGAGGGAAGTGAGCATTAAAGAAGTTCAGTAGGGAGTGCTAGACTCAATATCTGTGGAAGGCAGATAGTGAAACAAGATTGAACAGAGGGAGAAGCTGGGCTACAGTGCAGTTTCAACGAAGACCTCAGGGGACCCTATGTGGAGCTCTAAATGTTACTCTCTCAAGTTGTCCCACGTCATGGCGAGGAGACAGGCTTTTCTATTCCCTCTTTCACTGCTTATTGGATGGAAGCTGTCCTTGGAGAGGGAGTCTGACCACGGGCAAGATAGCTCTCCACCCGAAGGCAATTTTCTGACAGGGCTGAGAACTGAGGGTTGTCAGCCCCTAACATTCCAGCAGCTGCTGAAGATTTTCTGTTCTAAAGATGAATCTGTGTGTCACAGCCCAATACCCTTGAATCGTCAATATCTAATGTGGGGAAATGTTGGTGCTAGAAATATACCAGGCTCTCAAAATCACAAAACAAGAATAAATATAAAACTGCCTTCAAACACCGTCTTTAAACAGATTGCTACCTTTGATTGTTCTAATAATATTTTTCTTTTACATTTGAAATTGTGGTTAAAATATACATAACATAAGCCTTACTCTTTTAACCATTTTTAAGTGTATAATTCAGTGGCATTAAGTACATTCACAATGTGGTGTAACCATCACCACTCTCCATTTCCAGAACTTTTGCATCATCCCAAACAGAATCTTTGTATCCATTAAACAATAACTCCCTATTCCCTCTTCTCTCTCAGTCCCTAGAAACTATCATTTTACTTTCAGTCTCTCTGATTTTGCCTATTCTAGGTATCTCATGTAAGTGGAATCGTACAGTGTTTGTTCTTTTGTGTCTCAATTATGTCACATAGCACACAGTTTTCAAGGTTGCAGCACGTATCGGAATTTAGGCTGAATAATATTCTATTGTTTCTGTATACCACTTTCCAATTGTTACCACATTCAGCTGTTGATTCACATTTGAGTTATTTCTATCTTTTGGATATTATAAATAATGCTTCTATAAACATTGGTGTACAATATATGTTTGGGTCACTGTTTTCAATTCTTTGGGGCATAGAGTAAGAAGTAAAATTGCTGGAATAATAACTGTATTTTAAATTATAGCAATACGTAATATTTTATTCTGATGTTCACTATTGGGAGTATAATTCTTATTGTATACATAATTATATTCATTTAATAAATTTGCTTGTATTTATGAATATGTGACATTCTGCTAAGCATTTTATATTCAATATGTCTTAGATAATTACTGAGAGACAGTAAGTACAAATTAAATGGTAGTAATTGATATTTACTATGATTGCCTCATCGAATACCTATAGTAACCCCTGAAGAAAAGATGTAAATATTTTTATACTAAGTCTATTAAATGGAAAAACTGAGGCTTAGAGAAGTTATAATTTGCCTAAGATCACACAGATCAATTGCAGAGTCAGGCTTAGCCACTAGAACTGTTTACCTCAAAGACTGTGCTCTGAAAAATTACTCTGTCTTATACTTAGAGAACTATTAGATCTTTGGCCATATGTTTAGAGACCCATATATACCTTTTAAAATTTAAATTGCTTTAAAGTGTATAATTCCCAAGGGAGAATTTCGTGTGTATGTGTGTGTGTGGGGGGGGGGGGCTTATGGTTTTTTTATTTGTTTGCTTGCTTGTTTGTTTTTGCAGCATATTCATATGTCTAATAAAAATATCAAATAAATAAATTTAGTATAAGCATTTGAAACTCACAATAGTGGCTTTTTTTTTCCTGTTTGTCCTCTAATTCCATGAGGAGACATGAAATACTGGGCTGGCCTAGTATATGCATAGTTTTTCATTTACATGTATGCAAACTGGAAGCAAATCGATCTTCTACTCCAGATTTTTTTTCAGATTTTTTTCTCAATAGACAATATAATGTTTTAGAGTTTTTAGGCCATTTCCACAAAATATTATTTTCTTTAGAACAAGTAGAAAGTTATTTGAAAATATTTTTTTTCAGAAACAGAAAGCATATTTGTCAGATAACCAATTCTGTTTATACATTGGAAATTTTATTTTAAATCAAAATAAATAAAATCTAGCTTTGCTTTAGCACAATTATTTAGTTAACGCATTTGTCCATAATTATTTTAGGGTAAAAAATATATCACATAGTTAATAAAATAAATGTTTGGTTTGTTGTTGTTTTGTAGCTTGATGACAATTTATAGACAAATTACCATACACAAAAAGTCAACTTAACAAGACAATCTTTTAAAAAAAATTTGTCTATACCACAATAGCTAAAAATTACATTGAGAAAAATGTACAAAATATTCAAATCATAGTTACCTTTCATTAGTAGTTTTTATATTTTTATAAGAGATGTTCTTTCAAGTGGCATAGATATCTGAATAAATCAAGTTAAATCAAGGGAAAAACTTTCTAGGTCAAATTGCTTGCATATTATATTAAATTTGAGGTGTAACCTTTGGTCAGGATACTACTTTTTGCTATCAGTTCCTTACAAAATTTTCTTGTTACATTATTTATTCTTTTTTTTAAAGCCATCGTATTTCTATCTGACTATGGTTTGGCTGTATGAAAACTGGGATACCAATAGTTAAGATATCATTGAGATCCTCTAAAAATTTATCAGAGTCTTTAAGCTATAAGTTATATACATCATAATAACTTAATGGTATCATTAAGTATATAAAACCCAAACTGATACACTTAGCTTCTAATCAGACCTTCACGTGCAATTGAAAAGTAAACTTGGTTTACATACATGTCAATACTTCTCACTCCAGGTTGATTATTTAAAACAGTATTTTCTAAACTGAGTTTTTTCAAACTTTTCTCCCCAGATGTTTGGTTAAAAAAGTTTGGGGAATCCCACACAATTATCTCCATCTGAGAATGGCAACATATATCAGTCTATAGATCACTCTGATCAGTCCTGTAGTAACTAAATTTGATTAATGTATTTACTCAAAATTTTGAAACCCTGATTTAGAAATTATATATGCTGTAAGTGTTTAACCTCTGTGAAATCCAATCTAGCTGTTGACAATAAAACAGAAAGTAGAAAATGTCTTTGCATTTCATAACAATATATAGACATATTTTTGCCTGTATATATTGTCATCTGCAATAGATTTTAGTTTGAGGGAAATTAAGTTCCTGGCAAGATTTTTTTTAGTTGCTAGTGTTTCTCAATTAACTCCTTTGAGTTACTGTTATACGTCAAGTACATTAAACAAAGGACTTGGTGTGTAAAAATTTGTTGCAAGTTATTGAGTTCAGGATTAAATACACTGTACAATTCAGAAAACAATAGAATATTTGTACTAGGAAGGGAATTTAAGAAATTTTCTACATTATGTAAATTGAAGTATCAACTTTTATAATCTTAGAAAACAAAATTCAAACTAGGAATATTTTATGAACTTAGATAGCTGATTTAGTATCTAATATTTATTTTTAAGTGAACTTGGTTTATTCCTGCATTGCACTAATATAATGGAAGAGGCTTTATAGAAAAGAAGAGATTATATGAAATAATATCATGGTCAGATGAAGGAAAAATTTGAGCAAAAAGTTGTTCAAGCAATGTGTTAAAATTTTCTTTTTTTTTAAAAAAATGTATTTTTATTTTAAGTTGTGGGGTACATGTGCAGGGTGTGCATATTTGTTACATAGGTAAACGTGTGCCATGGTGGTTTGCTGTACCTATCAACCCATCACCTAGGTATTAAGCCCAGCATGGATTAACTATTTTTCCTAATGCTCTCCCTCCCCAACCCCATTCCCTGACAGGCCCCATTGTGTGTTTTGCCCCTCCCTGTGTCCATGTGTTTTCATTGTTCAGCTCCCATTTATAAGTAAGAACATGTGATGTTTGGTTTTCCGTCCCTGTGTTAGTTTGCTAAGGATAATGGCTTCAAGCTCCATCCACGTCCCTGCAAAGGACACGATCTCATTCTTCTTTATGGCTGCATAGTACTCCATGGTGTATATGTACCACGTTTTCTTTATCCAGTCTATCATTGATGGGTGTTTGGATTGATTCCACGTCTTTGCTATTGTGAATAGTGCTGCAATGAACATATGCGTGCATGAATCTTTGTAATAGAATGATTTACATTCCTTCGGGTATATATGCAGTAATGGGATTGCTGACTCAAATGGTATTTCTGGTTCTAGATCTTTGAGGAATTGCCACACCATCTTCCACAATGGTTGAACTAATTTACATTCCCACCAACAGTATAACTTTCTACAAAAAAGAGGAGGTGCACTAAACATATAGATTTTTTTCCTATGTGATTTTTACATAAAAATATGTATGTCAGAAGAAGTAAGACATGATTGCATTTTTAAAATAAAGCTTTTTAAAATTTAAAAAGTAAGGCGTGATTTAATTGAATATAATGAGCATGTAACATCAGATATAATTTTTTAGGTACCTGGAATCCATTGATTGAATGGCAAGAAAGTACCATACCTTCTTTACCTTATTGCCCGAGTACTAAACTTCATTAGGAAGGTGGCTTGCACCTCTTGGTACTTTTAGGACAAATAAAGATCACCTAGTTACCTAGCAGTATCTTGAGAATCCTTTTAATGTCTACGCCAGTGATGGAGCCTACACATGCTTGACTTCTCTTGTGTAATTAATAATAAGATGAAAATCAGAATTATTTTTATGTGGCTATTAGATGCCTTTTAGACAGTCACAACTTCCAGGTGCTATCACTGAAGTTCAGAGTTATAGATTCTTCTGACCAATATCCTTACACAACTTATCCTCTCTCCACTCCACTCCACTCTTAAAATAACCTGAGTTATTCAAGGTTGTTGGGACCTTTGTGGGGGTCTAATAAATAACACCTTGCATGGAATCTGAAAAATTAGTAAAAAATTGGAAGGAAGATGGAGAAAAAGGTGTCCACTTAATTACTATATTTACTACTTTACACTAAGTTGGAAAATGTATCTAACACAAAAGCTAAGTGAGCACCTAATTGAACCCCAAATTTAAATAGACTTACTCCTTACTTACCAAGGAGAATTTGTGCTATCTGTGGGCATCTGGATCCCAGAGGAAAAGAGGGATGAGCTGATTCGAGCAGAGCATGATCAATGTTCAATATGTTTTTCTCAGTTTAACCAATCACTTGAATCACACCTTTGCCCTTGGGGCAGAATGAATTCCATTTCCTTAATGTGGAAATACAAGTGAAAGGTATGGATAAAGTGTTCTCCCCTAACAATGTTATTTGGATGATATTCAGAGAAGCAACTGTGAAGTCATTGAACATATATTGGATTCTTGAATCAAGAGACCTCATGAATGTTTGATTCTACCATTCAGATGTTTTACCTTCAAGGTGTCAAAACTATCCAAGTTCCAGTTTTCTCGTTTGTAAATTAATAATAATAATAAAAGTACCCAGCTTTGAGAGTTGTTTTAAGGGTTAAATTAAATAATAAATGAGAGCAAGAACAAAACTGTGTTAAATATTAGTATTATGTTATTAAATGGTATAGATCAACCAAACGTTTTTGAGCACTGTGCTAAACACTGGAGATATGAAGATGAGTAAGACAAAGTCTCTGACCTTCAGTCTCATGTAAGAAATAAAAACACAAACAGATCATTTTAGGGAAAGAGGATAATGAGAAACAGCCTGAGTGCTTATGAGTGCACTGAAATCTCATTCATTGAAAGCTCAAAGGAATTGTTAAGTTACTTCTAATTTTAGCATAAATCACATGAATGCATGGAATAAATAGCACTCAGCTTTTTGTCCATGGCTGTCTTCCTATACTTACTTTCCCCATCTAACCTACATTTATATGAATATAAATTCTATAAAACCAAACAATGTGCTATCTAGGTCATGTCATGTGGTGGTAACATTGGATTTATCAACATCAGGCTGTATATTGTGAAAAACTAGGGAGCCCGTCATGGGATCAGCAAGCTTATAGAATAGGATTGACAGCTAGGATGAAAGCCAAAGCCAAGAGATTGTTCCCAGTATAATAGGAGCTGCAAAAATGCAAAAGGCAGATTCTGTGCAGTAGTCCAGGGTCAAAATCAAATATGGTCTAAAAATGAGAAAAACAAATAGGAATATAGACTTTCATATCTGAGAGTTAATTCCTTGAACTGTGATAGTCCAATCCATCCCACTTCCTAAAAGGAGATCTGTCTTATGCAAGCAGCTGAAAATACTGTTGAACCTTCTTTTTTTTTTCCAAAATTCTATTCATTTAAATTGTAACAAAATATACATAAAATGTACTATTTAACTATTCAAGTGTACAAATCACATTAAGTGCTTTCCCAATGTTATACAGTCATCACCTCTATTTCAAGAACTTTTTCATCATCCTAAATGGAAACTCTATACCAATTAAACAATTATTTCCATTCCTCCCTATCCCCAGCCCTTAATTACCTCTGTTTTACTTTCTGTCTTTGAATTTGCCTATTCTAGCGTATTAGGTAGTTCTTGCATTGCTATAAAGAAATACCTGAGACTAGGTAATTTATAAAGAAAGAGTTTTAATTGGCTCATGGTTCCACAGGCTTTACAGGAAGCATGGTGCTGACATCCCTTGGGCTTCTGGGGAGACCTCCGGAAGCTTATGATCATTGTAGAAGGAGAGGGGAGAGTAGGCAGATCACATGGTGAAAGCAGGGGGAAGAGAGAGAGAGAAAGGGGCCACACACTTTTAAACAGTCAGATCTTGTAAGAAGTCACCCACTATCATGAGGACGGCACCAAGGGATTGGGGCTAAACCTTCATGAGAAATCCACTCCCATAATTCCAATTACCTCCCACCAGGCCCCACCTCTAATAATGGGGATTACAATTCAACCTGAGAGTTAGGTGGGGACACAGATCCAAATTATGTCATGTTGGTACCTAATGTGAGTGGAATCATACAATGTTTGTTCTCTTGTGTCTGGTTTACTTCACTTAACGTTTTCAAGGTTTATCCATATTGAAGTATATTCATATTGTAGAAAATTTTGTATCAGAATTTCTTAAGGTAGAATAATATTTCGTTGTATATTCCACATTTTTTTTTACCACATTCATCTATTGATTGACATTTGGGTTGTTTCCACCTTTTGATGATTGTGAACAATGCTGCTACGAACATTCATGTACAAATATCTGTTCAGCCCCTGCTTTCATTTTTTTTGGTATACTCCCAGAAGTGTAATTGCTGGGTTTCATGACAACTCTATGCTTTATTTTCTGAGGAACTCTCATGCTGTTTCCTAAAGCAGCTACACCATTTTACATTCCCACCAGGAATGCATTAGGGTTTCAATTTTTCCACATATTCATCACTTGTTACTTTCTGGCTTTAGTTTAGTTTTGTTTTTAATTATAGTCATCCTAATAGGTGTGAAATAGTATGTGGTTTTGATTTGTATTCCCCTAATGGTGTTGAGCATGTTTTCATGTGCTTATTGGCTATTGTATATCTTCTTTGAAAAAAGTGTGTATTCAAGTCCTTTGCCCATTTTTAAATTGCATTTTTTGTTTTATAGTTGGTGAGTTGTAGGAGATTTTTACAGATTCTGGATAATAATCCCTTATCAGATACATTATTTGCAAATATTTTCTCTCATTCTGTGGGTTGTCTTTTTACCTCTTGATATTGTCCTTTAATAAACAAATGTTTTAATTTTAATGAAGTGCAATTTATGTATATTTTCTTTTGTTGCCCATGTGCTTGGTGTTATATTCAAGAGAACATTGCCAGAAACGCCTTTTTTTTAAAGCAAGAATTTTAAAAATAAAAGCTGGAACGATGTCCAATTAGCTTTTACAACATTATTTATTAATTTTTTTTCACTTTACTAAGTAAAGTAAGAGAAAATTGAATGGTAAAAACTTACTGAGATTTAGCTATGTTTGTTTTTCTTACTGCATACAGAGTTGTTATTATAATACTTAAAGTGCTACTAGAAATATCCCTAATATTGTCACCATGCTATTCCAAATTAAAAAGATAAACTGTCTCTCTCCACTGCAAACTTGAAATAGATTTTTTGTGACATTCATAAAATGCTATAATGCCTGGTTTTTTTGTAGTGGTACATGAAAAGGACTGATTTTATTTTATTACTGATGGGCAAAATTGGCAAATATCTTGTCTTTCTTCTCATAGCTCAGTGTAATTTACAGGTTAATTGTGCATCACAAACACAAAGTATTTAGATTGGAGAGTTGCCTTCTCTATATTGCTATTGATCTAAATTCACATGAAGAAAAAAGGCATTAATTTGAGGGCAAAGAGTGTCAGAAATGATTTATAGATTTCATGGAGTGTCAGGAAGTGGACATCACTATCTGGTAGCTTTTATGAATACTAAGGATGAAATTCTGAAGAAACTAGGCTACAAAATAATTATTTCGCAGAGGCAAAATATTGACATAAAACCAATATATCTTGCTCTTAAGTGAATCGTAAAGATGAATCACTAAGATTATCCAATATCATTGCTATAAGCAAGACGATCTAACCAAACCTGTCTTCCAAGGGTATTAAAGCCTCCTTTTGTGCTATAAAAGTACTTTAAATTCTTGAAGCAAGAACCTGAAATAAGCTGGACTCACCTTCTTAAACAGAATACACAAGTCACCCATCTGTTATAGATGAATGACCTTCGTATTTACATACCCAAAATTACCTGCTTCTAAAGCCATCTGGATAGTGTTACAATGTCCTTGTTTGACAGAATTTGTATTAAGAGGGCTAGAAGCCACCAATGAACAAAGCAAATCAGTTCAAATGGGAGATAGCAGGAAGGAACGTAGATTCATACATTCTTAGCAAAAAATTAGAGCACATAACAAAGATTAATGCTTCAACAAGAAAGAAAAATATGACTGTTGTAACAAAACATAATAAAGGTAAATATCTGTGCGAACAGTAGACGCAGGCAGTGATGTAGAAAGGATGGGATTTGGATGGCAGGGGAAGCTGATGCACCATATGTATATATATATTTATTTATTTATAAAGCATCAATTCAGTCTACATGCATAACTTGATAGCACAAAAGAAAATGTTTTATGTTATTCCCTCTTTGGATCCTTGAATGTATGTGATTTAGTAAAGAAAATTAGATTAACAGCAGATGTATGGGAATCTCCTTTATTATTTCTTTCTGCAACCTTATTGAGGGATGCCCCTTAGATAAAGAGAAAACTACTTCATTTAACACATTCTTACTTTAAAAATATTTTCCTCATCTTCCATCAATTAATAGAACCCTAGATGTCAATCTATTTCAGCTTAATGCGGCTTTCTTCAGACACATCCGGGAATTCACTAAAGTAATAAGTAGGTTTTTCCTGAAAGCACCAACTACCAGACATATTTCTCCTACAAGGTTTTTAATTGAGAGACTGTTTTTTCCAGGCACCTTTACATGGTTGTAGGTTTTATTTTATTCAAAATGACATCTAGTTCCTGTCATAATCTGAATTGTGGCAGGGCAGAGTAGGAGATGAGTGATATATATGAGGAGGGTGATTATTCATAATTGCTACGTTTGAAGACTAGAATAAAGAAATGATTTTTCTAGTACTAAAAAAATGACACTTTTCTAAATGAAAGTGATTTTATATTTTGAAGTTGTTTCCTCTATATAAATATGATTTTCTGGTGGTTCATGAAATTTTAGTTTCTATAGTACTTCTGAAATTCAGGTAGACTACAGAGTATCAACTTGATTCCCATCCTCTGCTCCCCACACACATACACAAAAATGACAGAAACCGAATAAATATAAAAGGAGAAAATGATAGCTTAAGTAAAAACCAGTAATATTTAAGCAAAACAATGAAAATTTCCCATGAAATATCTTCATATTTGATGCAAAAATATAAAAAATCACTCGCATATACATGCTAAAAAGAGTTAAGTGCAGTTAAGTACGCCGACACACATATTGTTCCATTTTCCTGATCTGTGTCATCTCTGGGCCTGGAAAATAGCTCCAATATTAACTGTACATGTGCTTCAAGCAATGTGCTGATTATGTAGGGGGATTGAACTAAACCAAGGGGTTTATCAAAATGGTGGAACAAATTACTTCAACATTGCCATTATCTGAGGAAGCAGGACAGGGGTTAATCTCTTGCACTGATGACTAACATTCAGCCGTGCAGGCATCAAATAACTCTGCACAGTATTGTTAAAGGTCTTTCTGGCTCAAAGGCACATTTGTTCTGAAAGGGTTTACATTTGTTTGGTTGAGGGTAGAGGGTTTGATTGTTGACCAGGTTGAGGTCACAGACTACAATTAGGTATTTAGAAGGAATGCACATCTTGATTTCATTATCCAGAAGGTGTAACAAACAAATGTTAAAAAGGCATAAAGACCTGCAGACAGAGACACCTAGCCTGACTCCAGCCCTTACTATTTATGTGTTTTCCCTCATTTGCTCATTTTAAAAACTCTTTGGACTACTTCAGGAAGTCGAATCAAGCTTTACTCAATTACAGTCTTTTCCTCTTTGCGCACGCTAGCCAGAGTGGTGGTTGTGCCAGGGTGTGGGTTAAGTCTTTCTTTCTGGAATCTTTGGAAGTCATCCCAATGTATTTGTCAGCTGCCAGTTTGCGGCCCTTTATCTAACGATGGGGTGGTCACAACTGATTCTCATGGCACACGTGAAATCTATGATAAACTGGAAAATCATGTAGTGTCTTGGAAAACAGATGAAATTTTCAAAGGCGTTTGTCATTGTCTTGACATTGCCTTACATTTTAGTGTTTAGCATGGTACATTGTTTGTTGGTTAAAAAAAGAATATTTAACAATGCTTTTGCTCTTTTTGTGAAGTTCTTCAGGGGTATATTATATTCTATGACAGTTTTAAAGATAGCTATTTCACTGTTAATGGTTTTGCTCCTCTGGTGTTCTACACTTGAAATTTTCTTTATAAAGGAAATGTTCATATATATTAGACAGAAACACTCTTTAGGATTAATCTACTAAAAAGAAAAGTATTTCCTTCAAAAGGCCAGTCAGTAGTCTGGGGTATAGAAAATGTTACATTACTTACTCAATATTGAATATTTTATTCATATTGGCTTTGCAAAAAATAAATCCTTTGAGAAATTTTAGTTTCGGTATTTAAGATTCATGCTCATAAGACATTTCCTCCATATGTCAATGTAGGAACCACTTTTCTTTTTTGAAGATACATTTTAATATAGAAATGACAATGATATTGGAAAACACAGAAGGTCAAAATAAAAAGTATCTATATCAAGTATTTATTTATTTTCCATTAATTCAACCATATTTAAATGTCTACTGTATTAGAACTAACTGTATGTGTATGTGTGCATGTATATATATACACACATAAATATATGCATATATACACATATAGTTAGTTGTATATGTATATCATACATACACATATTTATTATAAAGTATTCGCACAGATGATTATGGCAGCTGAGAAGCCCTATGATCTATCTGTCCTCTGTAAGCTGGAGACCCAGGAAATACAGTGGTGTAGTTCAAAGCCCTGAGAGTCAGAGAGCTAAATGTTTAGATTTCAGTCTGAGTCTGAAAGCCTGAGAAACAAGAGCACCAAGGGCAGGAGAAGAGTGATGCCCTGGGTCGGCAGTCAGGCAGAGAGCAAATCCAGCCTTCCTTCAACGTCTTATCCTCTTCCAGCCCTCAAGGGTTTGGATGATGCCCATCCACATGGAGGAGGGCCATCTGCTTTACTCAGTCCACCAATTCAACTGCTAATCTATTTTGGAAACACCCTCACCGACACACTCAGAAATGATGTTTAACCAGCTATCTGGGCCTCCAATGGCCCAGTTAAGTCAACACATGACAATAACCAACACATTTACCAAGTTCCAGACACTGTTGTAGGTTTGGAATTTATAGCAGTGAAAAATAAATAAAAGAAAAAACAAAATCCTGAGATCCTTTCCCTTATGATGACACAACAAAAAGAAAGATAGGTACAATACAGAATCTGTTAGGTAGTGATAATGCCAAGAAAAAGTAAGAAGGCACATGGTAAGGAAAACACATGTGTATGGGAGAGGCTCTCCTAGAGTTTGTGGTGATTCAGACAGGGTGTAAAGGGAGTCCTCACCAAAATGCTCATGTCTGAGTAAGCACCTATCACACTCTGTTTGGTTTGCTATAACAGAATACCTGAGATTGGGTAATTTATAAACAAAAGAAATGTATTTCTCAAGGTTCTGGAGGCTGGGAAGTCCAAGATCAAGGGACCAGCAGGTACCATTGTTGGGTGAATGCTGCTCTCTACTTCCAAGATGGCTCCTTGACCCTGCCTCATCCAGAGAGGAGGAGCACTGTGCCTTCACATGGCAGAAGGCAGAAGGCCGAGTGAGTCAAATGCTGCATGAGGCCTCTTATAAGGGCCTAAATTGTTTTCCAAGGGAGAATTCCTTACGGCCTGCACACCTCAAAGGCCACACCTTTCAACATCATCACCTTGGCAACATCTGAATTTTGGAGGGCATACATTTAAATTATAGCAGCACCTGAAAGAGGTGAAGGAGAAAGGCACAGGATTTCTAGAGGAGGACTCTTCCAGAGAGAGGGACACTCCAAGGACAAATGCCCTGATGCAGGACCACACCTGACATCAGAGTTTCAGAGCAGAGTGAGCTAGGAGAAGAGGAGGAAAGTCAGGGTGGAAGAGGTTGTAGAAGTGAGAGGAGTCACCTATGTCAGACCTTGTGCATCATTAGGGAGTAATTGGAGAGTTTTGAGCAGAGGAGTGATATTCTTTGACCTATTTTTAACAGGATTCTCTGCATGCTTGGTTGTGAATAAACTGCCAAAGGCAGAGCAAAGAAACTAGTTAGGAGATTATTGCAATAATTAATAATATTTTTGGAAGATAAGATTTACACCCATAAAATTAGTAGAAAATAATGCAAAGAAAAATGTAATTATGCTGCCACATGATTCTCCTTTTAATCCTCTTAAAGGATGGCTCAACACTACCAAAGTTGTTTCATACTTTTCCTTCGTTCCCTAAGCCTGACATTTCTATCATACTGCACTGTATAGTGAACTGGAAAAAAATTGCCTCCAACTTTGTAAAAAATATTCTACCACTTTTTCCAGTAAAAATTTGTTGAGCATCAAATATGTTCCAGGCATAAGATTGTCACTAGAGATATAAAGATGAATAACAAATAGCTTTCTCTTCAAAATTCTCAAAGTCCCATAAGCAAAACAGAAACATAAAAAGATATACGTAGTACAATTTAGAAACACAATGCCAGAGATGTGCCCAGGGTATGTTGGAAGCACAAACTATATACAAAGTATGGAGTTACCTTTTATTCTAGAAAATTAGGAAAAATTTCAGGGTATTGTTTCTAGTAAACTTAATTCTCCTCAAACCCTTGTCTCCACATCCTTAAAACATAGAAAAGCTATATACCCAGTGTGATGGTTAATTTTAGTTGTCAACTTGACAGGATTAAGGAATACTTAGAGAACTGGTAGAGTGTTACTTCTGAGTGTGTGTGTGAGGGGATGTTTCCAGAGGGGATTGACATTTTTCTGCTTCCTGATGATATGATAGTCACAGTTTATTTTCAATATTACTCATGAAAATCTATGAAAGACTGGAAAATCAAGCAGTGTATTTGGAGAAAAGGAATAACATTTGCAACAGCAATCATAAGTAGAAAGTGTAAAGGGCTCACCTAAAAGAAGAAACAGTAGTAACATAGTTTTTTCTGGATTAGATGTAATAATTACCATAGGCATAATGAGTTTATTTTAGCATGGTGTTTGCCAGATACCTCACCTGATTCCGTTTTGATAATTGTAACCAATTGTGTTAGTTGGCTAACATCAACTGGGAAAACAGTAGTCTTAATTCCAAGCCACACAATTCTGAACATGACTTTATTTGGCTTTTTCCTTCTTATATCGATAACATTTAAATGACCTTTTCAAAGTACCTGCCACACATAGCAATTGCTCAGTAATGCACAAGGGTATGAAAAACATAATCAAATTATAGATGATACAAATAGCTAACAATTGCGCATTTTCCCTTCCAAATTTCTCACAGAAACTCTCAAGAAGAACACAAGAACAAAGTTTAAAATCATTGGGAACTAGGTATTCTATTCAAATTGTACGAGAATCCTGAAACTCAATAGCAGGAGTAAGCATGCAGCTAGAAAAGAGTTCCAGGCACTCCATGACAAGCCTCTATCTCAGGAACATTCAGGCATCAGCATCAGACATTCATTTCACAAATATTTATTGAACATTAACTGTGTTATAAGAACAAGCCAAACTATATCGTAAAGCAGAGAAAGCATAGTTCCTACTTAGTACTTAGAGGGGACATCTAACCATACTTAGAAGAATTAGAGAGATGCTTTTGGATATGATATGTGATGATTTGAAATAACATTAGGAGCTAGCCAGAAGGCTGTGGTCATGCTGTGTGTGTTTGTGTTTAGTGGTGTTTGTAATACAGTGTAGTATAGTCAGACAAGGGAATGGGGAAAGATGGCGAAGAGGTTTTAAGGCTGAGTGAACAGCATGTGCAAAGTTTGCAAATAAGGAAAGGACTGTAAGTAGTTTGTGGGATTATCAATAGGTTCATGTGGGCTGAGAGTAGAGTCCACTGGGGGAGTGTTACAGCCCAATGGGTTCTTCTTCCTGCTGCACAGATAAAGCCCCAATTCACTGAGACAGAGGGCTTGCAACACAAAAAGAGTTTAATTATCACAAGGCAGTTGAAGAAGGATGGGAGATTTTTCTCAAACTCGCCTTCCCCAAAGCATGGGGGCTAGGCTTTTTAGTATAAGTTGGCAGGCAGACGGCTAGGGAATGGGTGCTGCTAATTGGTTGAGGATGAAACCATAGGAGTGTCCAAACTGTCTCCATGTGCTGTAATACCCACCCAGTCAGTCTCTGGGTTGAGTCAGCTCCTTGGTATGAGTCACAGGTCCAGGTGGCATCCATTTGTCTACCCAAATGCAGAAGTATGAAAAATATCTCAAACACCAGTCTTAGGTTTTACAATAGTGATGATATATACAGGAGCAATTGCAGAAGTTACAAAAATCTTGTGACCTCCAGACACATGACTCCTGAGCAGTAAGCAAGCTAGGGAAAAATGGCTGGTTATCGTTTAGCTATGTTCACATCTTAGCAGAATTCAGGCCCTTCCCATAATCCTAAACTTGTGGCCTTTCATTAGTCTTACAGAGGTGGTTTCAGTCCCCAGAGGGGGTCTGTCTTGGGAAAGACTATTATCCTCACTTCAGTTAAGCTATAAACTAAATTCCTCCCATAGTTAGTTTGGCCTGTGCCCGGGAATGAGCAAGGACAGTTAACCTGTGAAATTAGAAGCAAGATGGAGTCAGTTAGGTTAGAATTCTCTCACTGTTACAATTTTTGCAAAGGTGGTTTCAAGAGTAATGAAGCTACAGTGATAATCAGAGGCCATGTATAAAGGCATTCTATGCCATCCTAAGAAGTTTGTGCTTTAGACTTTAACGGGAAGCATTTCAAAAGGTTTTAATCAGGGAATTATTATGATTAGGCTTACATTTCAGAAAAGTAAATTAGATTGGTATGAGAGACACTAGTTAGGAAGTTGTGGCAGAAATTTATGCTAGCAGTGATTGTGGCCTGAACTAAGGTAATTGCTATAGGAGCTCAAGGCAACAAATATATTAAAGAGATTTTAAATAAAAATATAATATTCAGGGAAAGTACATTAAAAAGATAATGATTGGCACTTGGCAATCAATTGAATATAGGATATCAAGAACAAAGATTCGCTTAAAATATCAGGGCTTTTGACTTGGGTAAACGAGTAGATTACATCAACTTTTCAAATCAGGAGTATATTTGGAGACTGAGTGCAAGTAATGACAAATCAACATTTCCAATATATTCAGTATGAAATGCCCAAAGGATGTTCAAGGAAAGACCTTCTCTGGTAAATTACATATATGTGTCTGGGGTGAAGAAATGGTGTGGAGTAAAAATTAAAATTATGGGAACAGATGAACTCATTCAGGATGCGCAGGAAATGTGATATGAGAAAAAGCTGATAACACCTTGAAAAACATTGAGGAATGTAGCAGAATAGGCACCTATTTTGAGACTGTGTCAGAGTAGCCAGAAAGGTAGACATAAACCAGATAATGACATAGAAACCAAGGATTTTAGAGAATGTATACTACAATCAAATCATGATTTACTGTGAATGAGTCAATACTTGTAAAGCACATAGAATAATGCCTGGCACATGGTAGGTTCTCTATAAATGGCATCAAATACTGCTGAGAAATTAAGTAAATGTAACTAAAATCTTCCTTTTAACATCACCAACCTGTCAATGCAAATGGAAACTGTCTTAGTCTGTTTGCGCTGATAAAGATTTTGTATTTTTTTGCAGACAGGGTTTTGCCATGTTGCCCAGGCTGATCTTGAACTCCTGGACACAAGGTAGGTATCAACCCGTCTCAGCCTCTCAAAGTTCCTGGATTACAGGTGTGAACCACCATGTCCACCATTAAATTGCTTCTTTATACATGAAATATATAATGATAAATTATTTTTAGCTTGCACTTAAAATTTGACACCCACAGAACAATTAATTTTTTATTTAAAAAGATTGAGGATTAAAAAAAGAGAATATCTCAAAAATATATGAAATTTTTACAAGAATAGACAAATGAAAATTCTGACATGGGTAAAAGTATGTTTAACACATCATGATCTATCAAAAATGGAGAGTATGTAGGTAGAAAAATAGATTAGGTAGATTTTTCAAAAAATAAAATTTACAAGTGGGGAGAGAGAGAGGAGAATAAAGGGAAAAATACAGGCTAAATTTCTTTGAATATATATATTTTTAATTTGATTTTGGAATCATGTAAGTATTATACATGGTTGTAAAAAATTAAGGAAAAGTGTAATAATCAAACATTATAACAGTGTATTTACTTGGTGACATAACCTCACAGAGGAGAACCACTCCAAGTGACTTTAAAACATAATAATTTTGTTGTTCTTACCTAATAGAATATTCTCTATGGAAAAAATGCAGCCCTCAAATAAGAAACTATTAAACTCTTTTCAGATATCATAAAAAAATTGAGGATGGAAATGCAAACTTGGATATTGTATATGATATATTAAAGGGGTGTTATATATGATATATTAAGGTCTTATGCATTTTTCTCAGTGCATCCATATTCTTCTAATATAAGGAAGATACTTATGAGTATCAAAAATTATGAAAACCATATTTGGAAAAATTACAAAGTCAACACAGACACATACCACACAAAAACTGATTTTTTCTCTTGCATTGTAGCTTGAAACTTCATTTATTATTTTAAGTGGGTTTTATAGAAAATGATTCCTTTTTACATTACTTACAATTCCTACAAGGATTCTTATTCAATTTAGATTTTTCTTTTAACTTGATAACAATACTCTCACTAGAAGTGATGAGAATTAATTTGAAAAACTATGAACTCTAGAAATTGAATAAATTATTCAAAAAACACTCATGCTTCAAAATTATGGCAGTGATAGGAGACTTGGGAAGAAAATGTGAGCCCAGAAGATTATAAAACATGCTCCCTTGTCCCCTGCTTCTGACTCAATGACAACCATTCCTGGAATAATGGCCGAGAAAGGAAGGCTCTCTAAGTCACGGAGCCTCACTTGATTTTGGAATCAAGTTGATTCTAAAATTTAATTCCCTGAATTTAAAAAACTATGAAATGTAATGATGTTCACAAATAGGAAATATAGTGCAGTGATTAAGAGAATAAACTTTAGAATCAGACAGACTTGTATTCAGTTCCATGTACTAGTTGTGGGCCTTGAGCAAATTATTTCAACTGTTTCCTCACCTATAAAATGAAAATATCATCAAAGATACTTCATGGATTTATGGTCCGAGTAAAGGAAACAATGCATGTAAATTACTTGCCATAGTGCTTGTCAAATAGAAAGCATTCAGTAAGTATTTTCTATTTTTATTATTATGTTAAGAATTGGTTACAGGAGTCTACAGATGGAGCAGGAATAAAAACTGTGCAGTGGATTCCTGAAACTATGTGGGATGAATGTATACACTTTGCTGTTTTTATTGACCTCATTTTCTAAATTGGGGAAATTTTGATGCTGAAACATAGGCTATGGATTTGGACACAAGAAAGTGGGTTAGCCACAGATTGAACTCAAGGATTATTCATACTCTTGGTTGTGGAAGGGCCTCTGTCTTTAGTAGTTAGATCTTTCCCTGTTAAAATAAGATACATTTTCCTTAGTTTTTATAAATGTGATCTTTGACTAACCTATTGAATACATGAAAAACAAGGTAACAAAATTTTTTTATGTAAAGGCAGTACTTCATAGTTATATGTACTATTTAGATAATTTATGCTAAGTTCAGAAATTTAACATACAAATAAAACAATGATCATATTGATTTAATATAATCTATAGTGGAAGTAAAATTAGTTTTACCTGGGAGAGATGTGAGGAACATATAATTGATGAAATGGACTTCTCTTTATGAACATCAATGAACTATAAATCAATATAATATCTTGTGTAGAGAAATGGAAAGGTCTGGTACGAACAATGTTATTTTCTTTCCAAATACTAGCCAATTAAACTGAAGTAAAAAAAGGCATGATATAAAATTTATATGATTTAATATGCCATATTCTATATTTTGACATCTCCAAATTTAGGTTTTCACAAATATGAATCCATATCTGTTTGCTAAGTACCTTAATTCATATAATTATACCTGTTCAGTAGTTCAGAAAGCTATATTCATGGACTGAAATTTAAAGGAGGAAAATAATAAATATATTTGTAATAGTTGTTGACAAAAATAATAAAAACATAGAAATAAACCTTACTTTCAGGTTTGGTCATGAATATTATGCATGGAAATCCCCAATATTGATGGCTAATCTTGCTTGGTAAAACATGTCTCAAAATTTTCACAAAGGGAGAGACCTGGGAGAATTCTGGTTTAGGAGTAAGGGCCTGGACCCTCCTCAGAATGGAATTCCTAGGAGGGGAGCAGGCCCAGTTGTTTCATTTCATCATGGAACCTGATGCGGGGAAGGTGTCATTCCTCTCTGGTGATGTAATTCTGGTGGCTGGAGGGCAAATATTGAGAAATATACCTTGAATCTACACATCGGTGCCTAGGTTGGAGCAAGGTACTTAAGTACTGAAGTTAACAGAGAACAGCAGTCAAACGAGAAGGAACATGGGAAGTAAAGAGCTCAGAGCAAGCAGAGTAGAGTGGTATGACTTTCATCTAGAGATGGAGTATAGATGCCAAGGTGGCTTTCTATCCATTCGCTGCAAAGGACATAAGCATGTCAGATCATATAGGAGCCAGACTGGAAGAGTTATGTAATCATTTCTTACTTAAGGAAAAACCCAAACACCTTATGAACTGTTATTTACTCAACTTCTCAAGCTATGCATTTATTTCACTCATTCCTTCACTTTTATTTATTCACTCACCGAATATATCAAGCTCCCACTAGGTGCATGTAACAGATCTTTCTGACCATCTTGAATGCCTTGAAGCACAAGTCTATTTGTTGTCTAGAAAAGCAGATTTTTTAAAAGCTTTTTCCAAGATGTTACAATTCCTGCAGTGTCAGTAAGGGAATTATATTTTCACAAAACTCCCAGAGTTTTCCTAAAAGACTGACTTCTTAGTAGGATTTAAGGAGGGCATCCCTGTAGATTGTCTGATCTCTGATATTCGTTAAAACAGAGAACCCAAGAGTAGCTTTAGAGAGTAAATATGATTCTGCACAAATCTAGGTCTCATTTTTATCAAAAGGTGATTTCTGGATTTTCATGATAGGACATAATACGAGACCAACAGAATACTAGAAAGCATGGGATTAGCAGTAAGGTCACTCTATGACTTTTAAACCATGAAACACATCAGTGTACAATAGTGGAAGAAGTATTACATGTTACAGGTGCTGTCAGGTTATAAGACCTCTGCAAAATCACTAACTCTGAATTCTCTGCTCCTTTGACCAACATACCTAATTTGTGAAGTGCTTAGATTAGATAAATGATCATAAATCAGTAGTCAAGGTTGTTGATGGGTTTTGTTTTTGTTTTTGTCGTTAGCTCCTATTTCCTTAAAATATGGCTCTTTTTTAGGGTTGATAGTTATAAGCCTTTTAGGAAAAAGCAAAGGGAAATAAAAAGGAAGTTGAAAGTAGCAAAATGGTAGAAACTGTGATACATTATATAAACATATAAAACTAGATGTCATGATAAAAAGTGATTAAAAAAGAGAACAAGAGAGAGCAAAGGAGACTCTGAAAACAATGATGATTTGATAGTGAATCGGCCTGGCAGTTAGAGATGGAGCTAGAAGAGAGATAAGGGAACTGATTGGGATCTGAAAAGCAGTTTTATCTGCTTTGAATTCTCTAATTTTTCCATTCAGTGTGCACTGGCTTTCAGTTTCGTGAAATTTGTTGAGTTTGGCAAATATTCCAAACAAGGATTGTCAGATACAGTATTCAAGGTCACCTTTCCCATACTCTATGCTGACTGCTGAAATTAGCTGGAATGCTGATAATAGAATAGCATTTTCCAGGATTGATGGAGCCTCTACAATTATCATTTTTTCTAACAAAGCCCTAGTTTGCTGATGTTCAAACCAGTGAAAAAAAGGGGCTGCCTTTAAATTTATCATTTTCTAATTTAAAGGAAGATTGTGTCATTGAATGGAAAAGTAGGTTTTCTTTGTCTTTTTCATCTTAAAAAGATATATATTTAGCTTAATTCCCTAATCTTTACACCATGCATACACCATTCAGAAATGAAATCACTAAACAATTAAAAGAGCTTCATTGTTTCTTTGCCATTAACACTTATTAAACTAGAAAAAATACAGAAACACTGTACTTGGGATCTAGTGTTAGTAAATTCTTCATAATAAATATTTGGTTGTTAATTACATAATTAGCCTAGTGAAATTTCTGGGTTCTGCGTTTTTTTAAACTTTACTATAGCATTATTTAAGAAATAAATATTATCAATTAACAACTCTAAGAACCAACCTCAGTTTCATCCCATTTGTTTCACTTTTCACTCCTCCTGCAATAACCTAATCTTAACTTTACCTGTACCCCATCCAAATTTGGCAGGAGGCTGCATCTCCTGAACTTGAATCTTGTTTCTATAGATTTCTTACTCTTTAAACCTCAGTTTTTCATCTATCAAATAGAGGTATCTCTCACACTTGGCTGCTGAGAAGATTAATACAATAACAAACACTAGCTCCTTTTCAGAATCAAGCACTCTGTTTTAACTAAGACATATATTCCAACTATTGTTTCTCAAATTTTTGCTGTATAATTTTCAGGAAACTTCTATCTGGGAAAAAGGGGCAAAAAAAATCTAGAAGAAATGATGAATTTTCTTTAAGCTAGATAATAAATTTTGTAAAGCAAACTCTAAGGGACATAAAACAGAGAAAAGCACTTACACCATTTAGAAACAAATAAATGCAGAAATAGGTATCTATGGAAACAATATTAATATTATTATTATAAATAACTGTAATTATGTTCTGTTGAAGGCAAAAATGGAGTCAAATGCAAATAATCAGTTCTTTCCCCACACCACTCCATATACATACACACACATACTGAGCTGTCTCCATAGGGTGACCTCCAAGGCAAGGTTTACACATGGCTTTCAGGAACCAAGCAAGAAATTGCTGATTGTTAAACAGGTCTTATTTAAGTTCAACCTGACCTACCAGCATTAATGCAAAAAGGGCTTTGGAATCTACATATAAGGGAACTTTACGCTTTTTAAAAATGTTCACATATTTATACCAGACTGGAAAAGAATGAACTGATATCATATATGTATTCCAAAAAAGAATAGTAGAACCAATAAAAATCTCACTTGAACTGTCAGGGATACAATTTATTCTGGCACGATTCAGTGCTCCTCATTTATTGTAATAGCCACAAATTCACTCTATGTTTTCATCATGAATGTCTCTTCTTTAAGCCTTTACATTCTAAAATGTATTTTAATATTTTACCTTTAATTGTGATAGGATTTTAACTCAACACTGTATTAATTCCAAAATCTTTCTAAAGGTAGCTGCTCACTTCTCTGCAATTTATAGTCTTTTAAACTTACATAGACCGGCTTTAAGATACATAATCATGAAGGTTTAAAAATCACTTGTAATAATCATATTTCTAGCTCATATTTTAGATATGAATGTAGTAACAAACTACATCACTAATATTATTTAAAACGAATTTCCAAAAAATATTACTAGTATACTTTTTTACTTAAATATTGTCACCATATAGATCTCACAAAGGATTTTCCCCCCAGAGGCCAGCCTTTAAATTCAACAGCTAGTAGTATTAAAAGGCTGTTGGGGGTTGGGGGAAAGGCTGAATATGTAAAGCGAATACAGGACTAAACAGAAACTCCAGCAGAGACTAAAAAACACCTCCTGTGTATCACAAATAAATAGCGCATGATCCCATTTGTACCTCAAGACAACACACTAAGACTGATATTGAATAAACAATGAAGACTTTAATACTAAGGAATTCACTGTGACTATTTTGATATTTATGGCAATTTCAGTTGGGATGTGTGTGTGTGTGTGTGTGTGTGTGTGTGTAATATTAGAAGATTTGCTATATCCATTGTGTTAGTATGGGGTAAAACAGCTGCCATTTAAGATAGGAAGCTTTAACAGCATATAGTGATATGTGGAAAGGAGTGATTTTTCTTCTCTTGGCTTCAAATAGAGTCAAAAGACTTTATGATAAGCATATTTTTAAACAAAGAGTTACGAATATGAAGGCATATGCAGGAAACATTTTCTTTTAGATCCTTTTTCGCTGTTTCAAACTGGCTTTTATTTCCTAGTCATTTCTATGATATTTACATTCAGGTAGTTGAGTCAGCGAAGGGGTTATTAGAACACACTAGCAATGGAAATGATTTGCTCAGGGACCCCTGGCAGTGAAAGCTTCTGTATAGCGGTGCACTGATAAATGATTTGCATGCTGGTGGGACAAGGATATCACAATTCTGCATTCTGTATTTTCCCATACCTCCTACTTCCATTCCTGCAGATGGAAATAGACTCACTGAAACTTACTAGTGACATAAATTTTGTAGAATTTTTAATATTGTCAGCGATGTCAGAATGGTGCAGTGAGCTTGTTCCATGATATTGTAGCTATCTTAGATTTAAAAGAAATGTTTTTGGCTGGATGTGGTGGCTCATGCCTGTAATCCCAGCTCTTTGGGATTCTGAAGTGGGTGGATTGCCCAAGGTCAGGAGTTCAAGACCAGCCTGGCCAACATGGTGAAACCCTGTCTCTACTAAAGATACAAGAATTAGCTGGGCATGGTGGCACACACACCTGTAATCCTAGCTACTTGGGAGGCTGAGGCAGGAGAATTGTTTCAACCCAGGAGGCAGAGGTTGCAGTGAGCCAAGATTGTGCCACTGTACTCCACCCTGGGTGACAGAGCAAGACTCTGTCTCAAAAAAACAAAACAAAATAATAATAAATAAATAAATAAAAGAAAGAAATGTTTTTGTTCTACCATGAAGAATAAACATGTCAATTAAATAGAAAGTAGTCAATGAGCCATAAAAGGAAAAATAAATAAAAGAACTAAATAAATTATTTGAGCATTTTTCTTCCCCTAGACCAATGAGCTCCAGACACACGGTCCTGGTTTCTGTTCATCCTACACAGAAATATAGTAGACTTGTTCCCAGTTTAGGGTCTTGCCCTGGCTGTAGCTGGCCTTCTTATTATTTAGAAATCAGTTTAAATATAATTTCAAAGAAAGTCCACTCCTGGCACTCCTAATATAGTTTGCATACTTGTCCCCAACCAAATGTCATGTTGAAATGTAATCCTCAATGTTGGAGGTGGGTCCTAGTGGGAGGTGTTTTGGTCATGTGGGCAGATCCCTTATGGTTTGCTGCTGTCCTCGCCATAGTGAATGAGTTCTCCTGAGAGATCTGGTTACTTAAGTGTGTGGTGCCTCACCTCCAATTTTCTCTCTCTTGCTTCTGCTTCCATCATGTGACTTACCTGCTCTTGCTTCATCTCCTGCCATGAGTAAAAGCTCCCGGAGACCTTCCTACGAGCTGAGCAGATGCCAGCACCATACCTGTCCAGCCTGCAGAACTGTGAGCCAATTAAACCTCTTTGCTTATAAATTACTCAGTCTCAGGTATTTACAGCAATGCAAGAATGGCCTAACACAACATGCAAATCAAGGAAGTCACCCCATCATGCACTGAGTAGCATGTTGATTTCTTGTTCTCATCGGATGTATCATTTTATGAAATTACTGTATTTATGTATTATTAATACATTTGTTGT
This sequence comes from Homo sapiens, assembly GCF_000001405.40. NCBI lineage: Eukaryota > Metazoa > Chordata > Mammalia > Primates > Hominidae > Homo > Homo sapiens. Next base: position 90,109,496 of record NC_000004.12, read on the forward strand.
CTGTCTGTGTTTACTTCATTCTTCTACTGACCAGAATGTAAATTCCAGAAAAGCAAGAACTCTACCTGCCTTGTCCACTTCTTTATCTTCACTCTGGTCTTAGAACAGCTGACAAATTCTAGTTGTTCAAGAAAAATTTTTAAATACTAGAAAAAACATTACTTAAGAATGTTATGACTAGAAAATAAATATAGCTATGTTATGGCAAGTTGCACAGAAAATTGAATTCACTTTTTTTTTTTAGCACTTATTTATATTACAGAGGGTAATTTGGAGTTCTTTTTACATATAGTTAGTTGCCCAGTAGTTTGGAGGAATTCATATTTTCACTGAGTTACCAAGTTGACTTTGGTGCATATTAATAAGAATAGATAACCATCTACTAAATACTTGTTCAGGTACCATACTAAACATTCCCATGCTCTCTCATTTAATTCTCTCAAACACCCAATGATGGCAAATACTATTATTATTGTCATTTTGCATATGCAGAAACTGAGGATTATAGAGGTTAAGTAACTTACCCAAAGTTGGTCTGCTAATTAATCTGGTGCAAATATTTGATGCCAGCTCTGTGGGACCTGCAAAGCTGGGGCTCATCGTCACTTCATTTTATGACCTTTTATTGGAGCAGCTATTAAGTTTATATACTTTTCCTAATTTATACAGTTGAGCCATATTTTTCAAAAAATATGCCTTCTGTTTAAGCAACAATCAGGTGTATGCCCTCTCCCCCACTCCAGTTTTTATTTTGTTGTTATTATTTTATTTTATTGAAGTAGAGAAGTGCACTATTAATTACACTTTTTCTTTTTTCAGCCAATGGCATGGCTTTCTTTGTAAGTTGATTACAGTGGAGCTAAGAAGTTTGTGAATATAGAAGACTGTGAAGGGCAATAATTTAAATGATGTTGCTACCTTTATGATGATAGTGGCACATGTGTAACCATCATACATTCTCTGAAAAACCCTCCTAAGTCAATTATACTATGCTATAAAAATCTACTCTAAGAATTTGGAGGTAAGCTCACAAACACTGGAAATAATCTATTCATCAACTGGTAGCTTAACCCACACAAATGGAGTTACCTGTTTAACTTAATCAAGGAGATACAAGAGTAAAGTCCATCCTATGTTTGGTTTTATTTAAAAATGTATTCATTTTAATTAGGACATTTGAAGAAATGGTATAGTATCTATCCTGTGAATAAGGCCCCAAATGAAGTCAGTCATTATGATTATGAGAGAGAAATGGGAGTGGGAGGGATGCTGACAGGGGAAGAAAAGAAAGAGGAATAGCAGGAGGAAGAGAAGGAGAGAGAGTGGAAGTGATTGAAGATATAGAAAACAAAGGAGAAATCGTTTCCTTAAAAAACACGGGCTGGATTTTTTTTTCTAATCAAAGGATCTTTTTCTTGACAAAGTATTATATGGAGGTATTTGTATACTTCTATATATTCTGCAAAAAATTTAAATAACAGCAGTTACTGGAATTGAATGCCTACAAACACCTTAAACATTTTAACAGTTAAGGGGAAAAGAACCTCTTAGAAGTGTCTCCCAAAACGTGTGTGAGTCTATACATTTTGTAGAGTCCAAGTGGAAGAAAATTTAGGGATGCAAGTTCATGCAAATTGGTGAGGCATAACTTGCTATTGCCCTAGAGACGTTAAACCACCTTCATTTTTAATTTATTTTTGTTAATGAACACATATTTAATATGGTAGCACATTCTACATGCTTTAGCACTTTTGTCACCCTTTCAAAAGAAAATGCTTCCCAAGAAGTAATCATCCAGACTCCAGGCATACTTTTCCTAGGAGAACATTGAAAATTAACACTAAAAGAACGCAGATGTGCCTTCGTTAGAAGAAAAATACCAAATTGAATGGATAACATAAGAAGCACAGTCTCATGCCCTGAATAGGAAGAGCAGGTGAATCATATTATTATAAATACAGCATTAATCTGGACATTAAAATTACAAGGAAAGAAGTTTCTTTTCCTAGATGGTGCTTCGGCTGTATAATCTGATTTTATCAAGGTATGGCATTTCTAAAAGATTCAAGTTAATGCATAAGCCTTAAAATTTTAGATATGAATCTCTTTTAAACAGATCCTTACTGTTTATATTAAATGTTCATTTATGTTTACATATAAAAGATAGAGACCTTTAGAGATTTTATAACAACATCTCAATAACAAAAAGTCCAAACACCTATCGGTCTTCAGATATGTCTTTAGGAAAATAAATTTCCCAAGTGTGTACTTGCTCTAAGCAGTAAGTAACACCCTGACCTATATTTTGAGGCTGTGTTTTATGCAGGATATGGACAAAAATAGCACTGCTTCGAAAAATTTATGACATATAAAAATACTGAGTGAACTATGCATGTTAGCGTAACAATTTGAATTCAGGGAGAATATTCAGGAAGAAATTATATTTAAGCCTTCTGGTTGTTCTTCAAGTCTATTTCTAATTGGTGTCTTTCCTGAGTAGTAGCCTTAGGATTTGCACTAAACACATAACTTAAACAACTCTTCCAACATAGTTTCTGCAAAACAGCACATCATCTTCTTTGTTTAGACATTTTACTTGAACACAGGATTTAAAAACTAAAAAATTAATGCTTTTGATGTCAACAACTACATACACAATTAAATAAATCAGAATATGACTAAAAATTATGTGACTTTTTCCCATACATTGAATCTCAAGAAAAAAAGAGAAATTGCAGAACTGTCATTCCTTTTCACCTTTATGGTTCTTAAGCATATATTATCTACTGTGTTATTTTTCATGAGCAGAGATTCTCACATATATAGGTGCATAAATATTTTTCATTATGTCAACATTAATCTGGAAAACATTCAAGATGTCTAAATGATCAGTCTTGTCTTATTTTAGATTAGTAATTAAAATAAAAAATAAAATTTGTAGATTAAATATGGCTTCATAAATTTAATGTTTATTAAAATAACAGTGCCAAATGCAGATATTTTTAAGTTATTGGAATATTAAAACATTAATGAATGCTTACTTACTCAAAAAATGGAATAAATATTATGCTGCCACTTGTCTAATAAAGTTTATATAGTCAAGCAAGACATACTTTTTCGACTTTAGGCCAGATAAAATAACTTTTAAGAATCTTTCCCTGACAATCCACCCCTTAAGTCTGCATTATTTATACCTGTTAGATAATACAAAATATTCCATTTTGCATCTATTATAGTATTAATACAGTTTAGTAATTGCCTATTTATTCAGCTTTCCTATTAGAATTTCACCTCTTGCCTGTATTTTAATTGTTTTAAATCTCCATAACTTAGCATCTGCCTACTATATTGCCAATGTTTAATTAAAGTTTGTGGCTGTGTGGGGTGACTCATGGCTGTAAATCACAGAGCACTGGGAGGAAAAGGCAGGAGAATTGCTTGAGGCCAGGAGTTTCAGACCAGCCTGGGCAACATAGTGTGACCCTGTCTCTACACAAATATTAAAAATAAGCCAGGGATGGTGGTATACATCTTAATCCTAGCTACTTAGGCGGCTGAGGTGGGAGGATCACTTGAGCTCAGGAGTTTGAGGTTACAGTGAGCTCTGATAGCGCCACTCACTCCAGACTAGATGATAGAGCAAGAAACTCTCTAAAAACCACAAACTAATAATAACAATAATATATTAAAAGTTTTTGAATATTGCAGGATTCACCATTGTATCTAGCTCCTGGTACATAGTAGCCACTCAATTTGTGGACTATGATAGTTAATTTTATGCCTCAACTTAACTGGGCTAAGGGATACATAGATAGTTGGTAAAACATTACTCTGGACATGTCAGTGAGGGTGTCTCTGAAAGAGGTCAGCATTTGAATCAGTACACTAAATAAAAATCACCCTCAACAATCTGGGCAGGCATCATCCAATTAATTCAGGGCCCGAAGAGAACAAAAAGGCTGAGAAAGGGTAAAATTCCTCTTCGTTTTAGCTGGGACATCCATCTTCCCCACCCCTTGGATATCAGCTTGCAGATGGCAGATCACGGAGTTTCTTGGCCTCCATAATAGCTGAGTCAATTTCAATAATCTCTCTCTCTTCTCTGTATGTGTGTGTGTGTCCATATATATAATGTGTATATATAGTCATATATGTATATATTCATATACATCCTGTTCATATAAATTCTATACATTAATATATATTATGTATAATTATGTGTGTATGTGTATATATATCTCCTGTAAATATACGTGTGTGTGTGTGTGTATATATATATGTATATGTATATATATATATACGTATATATATGTATATATATATACGTATATATATATGTATATATATATATACGTATATATATATATATACGTATATATATATGTATATATATATACGTATATATATATATATATATATGTATATATATATACACACACATACAGTCATGTGCCACTTAACAGTGGGGATATGTTCTGAGAAATGCATCATGAGGAGATTTCATCATTGTGTAAACATCATAGAGTATATTTACACAAACCTAGATGGTACAGCTTACTATACACCTAGGCTATATAAGGCTACAAACTTATACAGCATGTTACTGTACTGAATACTTTAGGCAATTGTAACACAATGGGAAGTGCTTATGCATCTAAACCTAGAAAAGGTACAATAAAAATATGGTATACAAGATAAAAAATAGTACACCCATATAAGGCACTTACCATGAATGGAGCTTACAGGACTGGAAGTTCTCTGGGTGAGTCAGTGAGTAAGTGGCGAGTGAGTATGAAGGCCTAGGACATTGCTATGTACTACTGTAGACTTTGTAAACACTATATAGCTAGACTACACTACATTTATTTTAGGAATTTTTTTCTTCAATAATATATTAACCTTAGCTCACTGTAACATTTTTACTTTATAAACTTTTAAATGTTTTTTAACTTGTTGACTCTTCTGTAATAACACAGCTTAAAACACAAATACATGCAGCTGTACAAAAATATTTTCTTTGTATTCTTATTCTATAAACTTTTTTCTATTTTAAACTTTATTTTTTTACTTTTTAAGCATTTTATTTTGTGAAAAACTAAACCACAAACCCACACATTAGCCTAGGCCTACACAGATTCAGGATCATCAATACCCCTGTGTCCCACCTTGACATCTTCTCCCACTGGAAGGTCTTCAGGGACAATAACATGCATGGAGCTGTCATCCCCTATGATAACAATGCCTTCTTCGGGACACCTCCTGAAGGACCTGCCTGAGGCTGTTTTACAGTTAACCTCTATTTTATAAGTAGAAGGAGTACACTCTAAAATATGATTAAAAATAAATACGTACACCAGTAACATAGTTGTTCATTACTATTATCAAGTATTATATATGTTACATAATTGTTTATGTTGCATAATTATTTGTGTTACACTTTTATATGACTATGACTGGCAGTGCAGTACACTTGTTTACACTACATCACAAATTTGAATAATGTGTTGTGCTACCACATTACAATGGATACAAAGTCATTAGGTGATAAGAATTTTTCAGCCCTATTATAATCTTATGGGACCACCGTTGTAAATGCAGTTCATTGTTGACCACAGCATAGCAATGCAGTGCATTACTCCTTTCATTATGCAGTTTACAAGACTCAAGTCTGGTTTGCAGATGGTTCTACATGATATGCAAGGACCACCTGAAAGTGGACAGCTCTAGCACTGCATCTCCTCTCCAGGACATCCCTGAAGGATGTTGTTGGACCAAAATTCTCCCAGCAGGCAAAACATCTTGTAATGCACCTGGTTGTGCACTTTGCTTGGAAAGAGAAACAGTCAGATGTGAGATTAAATACCAATTCATGGGCTATAGCCCACGGTTTGGCTGGATGGTCAGGGCCTAGGGAAGGGATATGATTGAAAAATAAGTGGTGAAGAAATCTGGGGAAAAAGTATGTGGAAAGACCTCTCTACAGACCAAAAAAAAAATCCCCCCAAAACCCATGAAGATACGTGTGTCCTATATAAATGCTCACCAATAGGTAGATTCAGCAGATGAAGATTTTAATAATCAAGTGGCTAGGATGACCCATTCTAAGAATATCAGTGAGGTTTTCCCTAGTCAGCCCTGTCACTGCCCAATGGACTCATGAAAAACATGGCCATGGTGGGAGGGATGGAGGTTATGCATGGACTCAGCAACATGGACTTCTGCCCACCAAAGCTGAGCTGAATATGGCCACTGCTGAGTGGCCAATCCACCAGCAGCAGAGACCAACACTGAACCCGTGGTAATGTCACAGTTTGCTGGGGAGATCGGCCAGCTACCAGGTGGCAGGTTGGTTATATGGGATCACTTCCATCATGGAAGGGACAGCCTTACTGATTAGACACCCTGGATATGGGTTTATAGGTTTGCCTTCTCTGCAATGTTTCTGTTTACTTACAGAATGCCTTATCTATTAGCATGGTTCTTTACACAGCATCATTTCTGATCAAGGAACACACTACAGCAAAAGAAGTGTAGCAGTGAGCCCATGCTCATAAATTCATTGGTCTTACCATGTTCCCCATCATCCTGAAGCAGGTGGCTTGACAGAACAGTGAAATGGCCTATTGAAGACTCAATTACAGTGCCAGCTAGGTGCAATGTATTGCAGGGCTGGAGCAAGATTCTTCAGGAGGCTGTATATGCTCTGAATCATCATTCAATATAAAGTCCTGTTTCTCCAATAGCTAGGTCCAGAATCAGTGGGGAAATGGGAGTGGCATCACTCACCATCACCTCTAGAGACTCACTAAAAAAAGTTTTGTTTCCTGTTCTCAAGAATTTATGTTCTGCTGGCCTAGAAGTCTTAGTTCCAGAGAGAAGAATGCTTCCACCAGGAGACACAACAATAATTTAATTGAACTGGAAATTAAAACTAACACTAGGCCACTTTGAACCTCTAATGCTTCTGAGTCAACAGGCCTAGAAGAAAGCTGTGGTGTTGGCTGAGATTATTGATACAGACTATCAAGGGAAATGGACTACCACTCCACAATGGTAGTAAGTAGGAGCATGCGTGAAATACAGGAGATCCCTTAGGGTGTCTCTTAATATTATCATGCCCTGTTATTAAAGTCAGTGAAAAACTACAACAACCCAACTAGGCAGGACTACTCATGACTCAAAACATTATTACTTTTTGTCTGTGAGGGAGTTTCTGGAAGAGATTAGCATTTAAATCAGTATACTGAATAAAGAAGATCAACCTCAACAATGTGGGCAGACATCATCCAATCTGTTTGGGGCCCAAATAGAAGAAAAATACAAGGTGGGGGGAAGGGTAAAGCTGCTCTCTGTTTGAGCTGGAACATCATCTTTTCTGCCCTCAGAAGCTTCTGGTTTTTAGGCCTTCACATTTGCGCAGAATTAAACCATCAGCTTTCCTGGTTCTTCAAGTTTGCAGATGGCAGATCATGGGACTTCTTGGCCTTCATACTCCTGTGAGCCAATTACCATAATAAATCTTCTCAGGTTTATATGTGTGTATATATTTTTATACCCTATTGGTTCTGCTTCTCTGAATACATGGACTGAATGAATAAATGAATGAATGCCATCTGCTTTTAGACTCACTGTGAAGATAAATTTCTCAGTTACCACATGACTCATAAACACCAAGATTTAGCAGAAGAAAAAAATCCCATATAAAAATCTTTTAAAAATGTGTTCAAAATGGCAAGAATTTGTTCTTGCATTTCAGAAAAGTCAACGAAGAGCATTTGAAACCTTCTCCATCCCCCTGTTGTACTTCTTGTATGTGCTTCTAGCATTGCATATATGGTTTTGTGGTTTTATCAGTGACTTATTCTCCTTATTGAACAAATATTTATTGAGGGTCCTATGTGTAAGTCACTCCACTAGGCACAGGCAAAAATGGAAATATCTCTGTCTTCAGTATCTTTTATATCAGTGGAGGATGAATACATTAAACAAGAATAAATACATAGAATAAGCAGTGTTTTAGATAGTGATAAGTGCCAAGGAAAAATAAAGCAGGTGAGGGGGCTTGGAAGGGGATGTGAACGTAAGTATGGGGTGAAGTTACTATTTTACATGTAATGGCCAGGGAAGGCATCAATGAAGTGACATTTGAGCAAAGTCAGAAAGGAAGGAAGGAAGGACCCCTCCATGACCAAGCAGGAGATTCCACAGAGAGAACTGTAACAATACATAGTGGTGAGGGATGGGTCATGTAATGACATTTACTCTCAGTGAGACAGGATGTCATTGGAGGATTCGAAGCAGGACAGTGGCATGATCTGACAGATTTTAAGGTGATAACCCTGTCTGCAGAGTTAAGAATATACTGTGAGGGGCAAAGGTAGATGCAGATATCAGTTATAAGGCCTTTGAAATAACCTAGATAAAAGATGATGGTGGCTTAGACCAGTTCACAGCAGTGGAAGTTTTGAGAAGTGGTTGGATACTGCATATCTTGTGATGATAAAGCCAATAGGATTTGGGAACACATTAGATGAACATTATAAGAGAAAAAGAAAGGCTAAAAATAATCTGAAGGTCTTTAACACAAATGACTGGAAGAATGGAGTTTCCATTGCCTGAGATAATGAAGACTACATATGGAACAGGTTTTGAAAGGAATTCCAGGAGGCTTTGAGTATGTTAAGTTTGAGATGCTCCTACACACAGAGATGTCAAGTGGGCAGTTAGACATGAGTTCGGTGTTCAGGACTGGAGATACAAATTTGGATGTCATCAGCATTCAGATGACATCAAAACTCGGAGCTTAAATGGGCTCACCAAAGAAATGAATAATGGATAGAAAACAGAAATTGAAATCCCGAGTCTTGGAACACTCTAAATATAGAGGTCATGGATGTGAGTAGAATCTAGCAGAGAAGAGTAGAAACTACAGAGAGAGAAAGTTAGGAGTAAAACCAAGGAACTGTGGTGTCCTAGAAGCTTAAAATTAAATACATATTTCAAATAGATGATCAAAATTATGAGGTTGATTTATGAAATACTCACCTTTGTCTCTTGTCTTTCCCCATCATCTACCTCCAGTCATCAGAGCTGTTTTGGTTATTTCTACAAAATATATCCATGTAAGTGAATGTTCCGTCAGAGAAGCAGAGGTAATATAAATGATATTGAGTAAGATATTTATTGCAGGGATTGGACCTTACGCAACTGTGGGAGCTTGAAAGATGTCTATGCAAATTTGTTGCCACGCAACTAAGGCTAGCTGAAAGCCACTAGTATCAGCAGAACTGAAAGTTGTAAAGAAAATCTATCTGTGGACTTGGGGTTGGCTGGGACAAACTGGATATTTTGGACCCCAAAAGACAATCTCTATCTACATCTGTCTCTAGCCACCTCCAACGTCAACAACACAAGTGAAAATGCAGTAGTTCCTGGCACTCTTCACATTTATACATGCACATTCTAAGAGGATTAAGAAGATCTCCCAGGAGTGGAGGGAACTTCAGATGCAGCTGCTGCCACAAATCAGTAAGGTGAGCTAGCAGATCAGCAAGGAGCAGGAGCAAAAACAGAACCTGGTTCCATACACTGATCTTCAATGTGTAATAAAGCTGCCCTTTTAATTTTTTTCTTCCAAATCTCATGAAGACTTCTCTTCCAGCCAACCCTAATTCAGAACCATAAAAGGAAGAGATTTCCAGGAAACACAAGTTTCACAAGATGACACAGTATAAAACAACTCCAATCCAGAATCTGCCAAAGTAAAATAAAGACTGAGAGTTAGCTACTGTGATTGTTGCAGTATATCTAGGATCAGGTTTTGATTTCCCTGAAACCAAGGAGTAACTGCTTGTGTACCTTTTGTATTGTACTTCATATTGTATTCTACAATGACCATCTCAATAGGAAAAGATTTTTCCCATCTTGGTATCCCTACTATTTGTGTGGTTTAGTATCTTCAGTACAAATTTGTTGAATAACTAAGGTTCCTTCAAATTTTACTTTTCTATGATTCCAAATAAAGATGTTTTCTACTACTAAACAATACAATATTGGTGAGAAATGAACAATTAAAATAGATCTTGAAATAATTCTCATGTATCAGGTTAGTGAATATACTCCTCCATTATGCTTAGACTGCAACATTCATATTTAAAGTTAGTTCAGAAAAAAAGATAACTTATGAAAGAATCAGAGACAAAAGACTGTCAGTAGTCTGAAGGAAAATGAAGGCTCTCAAAGGAATAACAATAATGTGTCTCTATTATATATGATTTGCTGGAAATGATATAAAGAATAAATCCACAGTCACATACTCCAATCCTTGTTTCACCTGAGCACCCATTATTTTGCTTCTACAAGTTATTGGGGATATAATAACAAGCAAATAAGTCATGGGCCCACAACTGGCTTATAGCCTAGTGGGATTTAAAGACTTAGGGAAAAGCTTGTGTAATAGGCAGAATTCAAATAACCCTCACCCTTGTATAATCCCCTCCTTTTCAATGTAGTTAGAACCTGTTACCATAGTACATAATACATTTTACCTGAGTGAATAGTTATGTTATATGGCACAGTTGACCTCAAGATAGGGAGATTATCAGGGTGGGCCTATTAATAAAATAATCATATGACACTTTTACAGGCAGAGAGTTTTCTCTGGTTAGTGGAAGAAGAACTAACAGATTTGGAGCATGAAGATTTGAAGCTGCTGTTGTTGGCTGACAATGGGGGGAGCTGTGTGTCAACAAATAGAGACTTAATCCTACAACTGCAAGAAACTAAATTTTGAACAATGAGCCTGGGAGTGGATCTATGCCCCAGAGCCTCCAGATGAGAACTCAGCCTAAATAACACCTTGATTTCAGGCCTGTGATATTGAACAAAGAACTAGCCACACCTTGCTAGACTTGACCTACAGAACTGTGATCTAACAAGCTGACATTTATTTTCAGCCATTTTGTTTGTGGTAACTTGCTATGCAGCAATAGAAAACTAATGCAGCTTGCCTCCGCTCCACATGGCTGGCTGGAGTATACAGATTGAGAGCTGAAGGTTCTATTTCCAAGATGGCTCACCTACACGGTTGGCAAATTGGTGCTCATTGTATGTGGGATGATAATGGCTGGAGGCTTCACTTTCTCTTCATATGGGCCTTTACACAGGCTGCTTGGCTTCCCTACAGCAGGTGGCTAATTTCCAAGAGCAAGAGTCCCAAGAGAACAAGGAGAAAATAAATGGCAGCTTTATGACCTAGCCTAGGAAACTACATAACATAATTTTCATCATATTCTGTTGGTTAAGGCCATCACAAAGGTCTGTTAAGGCTTAAGAGGGAGAAACATAACTTACCACTCAATCAGAGCATCTTCAACATCACATTGTAAGAAATGTATGAGATGTGATGCTTGTGATAGCCATATTTGAAACATATGATTACATGGTGATGTAATGACTCACTCCCATCTCAATATCCATTGTTTTTAAATTGTTAACATTTGAGGGAAAGTTGAAAATGATGACAGTGCAAAAAAATTTAAAAAAAAAAGCATTGTTACATCCAGTGTAGGTCAGGGATATGAATGTGTTTGAATAATAAATCCCAGAATAATAAATGTCAAGAACACCTGCTAACTTTAATATTAACTTAAATTTCGAGAAAACTCCCAAGATGTTAAAAATAGGCAGTGAGAATAAAAATTGGGAGCTATTTGAATATAAATGTGCTATTTTAACCTTAGTTAACTTGAAAAAATTGAAATATACCACAAGTGTTTTCTTGAACACTTAATGTTTGTAACATTAATAATAGTCACATTTCATACATTGCATATTTTGCTTTCCTTGATATGTAAATGCTAAGAAACTATAAAACTATTATTCACCCAGATATAAACTGCAGGCAGTTTTTCTATTACAGAGTTAAGTGTATGATTTTGGCTTTTTTTTCCAGAAAATGAAAAAGTTCAATATTGTTTTTATTTACAGAATATCATGATAAATAAATATAAAAAGCCATAACATTAGTCCTTAAGATGATCTAGACTGCATAAATATATACAAATTATTCCTCTTCATCTTCTATACTTGGATGATTAAAAATAATTGAATCTCACTACTAAGTGAACCAGACATAAGGAAACCACACTTCAATTCATGAAAGCATATGCATTCATTTCTAAAGTTAAAATTTTGGTCGAATAATGTATAGATTTGTCAAAATAAAAATGACTTCCATTTTATATAACGTCATAAGCCTAGAATTTCACAATTATAAGAGAAGCTTTATATAAATGACAAAAACTAGGAAATGCATTTTTCACATTTTAATTACAATTCACATGTCTGTATCTCCTGCTGTGATGTTTTGCCAAAAAGAGATCTCATTTGTGAAACTGCCAGTATAGAAAGTGACAGATGGTAAGACCAGTTTCCAACCTGCTATAGTACTGGTTTAATATGGTTTAGATTATTTTATTAGCATTGTTTACTTTTATTATATATCTAAGTAGTACCAGAATACTATTACAGTTTGTTTCATTTCTTCTATGGTTATAACTGTATCTATTTATATGATTTATATACCTGATTTAGTTTTAGTTTCAGATTTTATCAATACACTATTTTTAGGTACGGTTTAACTGATGTTTTATTTTAAAAATAGGACAAAATGTCCTATTCATTTTGATAAAATGTCTACAACCCACATAGATACCTAGGGACAATCATAATAGAAAAACTCAAAAGCCCAATTAAAAGAAAATCACTTTGATTATATAACCCATAGCCATCAAGAAATTAATCAATTAATTGGGTTAACTTTTTAAAAATATTACAATCAGAAAAAATAGTACAACAGTTCACCCTTATCCACAGTTTTACTTTCTGCTGTTTCAGCTACCTGAGGAACGTTGCAGTCCAAAAATACTAAACAGAAAATTCCAAAAATAAACAATTCATAAGTTTTAAATTGTGTGCCATTTTGAGTAATGTGATAAAATCTCAGTCCTTCCCACTCCATACGCCGGGACGTGAGTCATCCCTTTGTCCAGCATAGCCAGCTGTACATACTACCTGCTTGTTAGTCATTTAGTAGCCCTCTTGGTTATCAGAGCGCACACGCACACACACACACACACACAAATATATATGTGTGTGTGTATGTATGTGTATATATAAATGTTTTTATTCCGTGTGTGTGTGTATGTGTGTGATATTATCTATGGTTTCAGACATTCACTGGGAGTCTTTGAACATATCCCCCAAGGATAAAAGAGAACTACTGTATTCAAACATAAAAAAGTATTCCATGTGAAAGCATGAAATCCTAAAGTTATTTTCCCAAAGACCTCATTAGTTATATTTGGAAATAGAAAAGTGGCTCATGCCTTTAATCCCAGCACTTTGGGAGGCTGAGTGTGGAGGATCCCTTGAGCCCAGGAGTTCGAGACCAGCCTGGGCAACATGGTGAGACTCTGTTTCCAAAAAAACAATTAATTAATTAAAAAAATAAAGAGAAACAAAGATGTGAAAATGATATAAAAGTTTCTAATGGTGAATCTGTTTACAAAATTTTTTGTTTTATGTTAATAAACATTATTTTAACTCAGTTTTCCTCCCTTAATAAACAGAGAGGCTTAAATTCAGAGAACATTAATGTTAGCTCTTGCCTCCTTTCACTACATTTCACCACTTAAATGTGAAAAATGCATTTCCTAGTTTTTGTCATTTATATAAAGCTACTCTTATATTGTGAAATTCTGGGCTCATGGCGTTATGTAAAATGGAAATCATTTTTATTTTGACAAATCTATACACTATTCGAAATTTTTTCAGCTCCCTAAACTGGGTAGTCTTCCTGGAAATTCAAGATTACTTCAGTTGCTGGGTAAGAGATGCCTCTCCATGTCCTCTATTATCCATCCTCTTAGCCCACAAAATGGGCTTAGAATTACATCATTTGGTAAATCCGGGACATGATAGCCAAGATACAAGGATAGTGGCTTACATTCACCTTTATAGTCTTGCTCCCAAGTATGTCCTACAGCATGAATCCTAGGTGTCTTGTGGAGTTTCCAGACCAAAGACAGCTCATGCAGTGAGTGCTTTGACCCAGTCACCTGAGTTTAGCTTCTGCCTAGATTTCCACATGAATAGATCTTGCTGTCCTGCCACTGGGCAGAATTTCCACAGCAAAAAGACAATTTACCAAGTATAGTCACCACTATCAGATATCTGAAGAATAATTTTATTTAAAGTCTTGTCTACTGTGCCTTGTCTACCTGGAAACTTGCCCAGCTAAGAGTTTTCTACATTAAGATTGAGTTTTTCTGTGCTCTCTGGACCTAGAACTGCAGCTGAGTCCATCTGCACATCTCCTATCTCACACTTTCTCATCAGTCCTTGTCTTGAACTAAGTGCCAGTTTTAGCCTTGATGTCAATTAACTAGTCCTGTCGCTCTAAGGTACTAATGATGCCACTTTCATATTACAAAAGTCATCACAGAAGGATAATTTACTTCTTAGTAATATGAAAGAAATCCAGAATGCTAATAACATATGCGTAATATTTTCTTGAATTTTTGTATTCCATTAGGCTAAAACAACTAGGGGAAATGGTCTTCATATATTTTTTCATAATGATTGGCTAATCACGATAGAGTATAAAGTAAATCAAAGAAACATAAAATAGCTTGGAAAGAACAAAAGAAATGCAATTTAAAAATGTTTAATGACACTCCACCTACAAACATTGTTTTACAAATGTATTAAAGTTAATTCTCTTTCTAAAATGTCTTAGACTAGTAATAGGGTTGGGGAAAAAAATCTCCCTTTCCTTCCCTGGGCTATAATTTTACTTTTTAGGTATGACTACTGAGGAATTTCTAATTTGGCTCATCACTTCAGTGGGAATTCAGTGCACATAAGGGGCACATATGTAATTGGCAACCTAATTTTTCTGCTTTCATCAAATGGTGCAATGCCAAATCTTCATTGAACTTGCCAGTTAAATGCACTTGGGAACCAAACAGCAGCAAGCATACATGAGATTAAAATGAACAAATTGGAAAGAGTCATTAACTTTTTCTGTTTTCCTATCACAACAAAAATTGTATCATTGAAAGTGTTGCAAAGTGGGGAATTCTACTTGAAACATTAAACAATCTTAAAAGAGAATAATTCATTTACTTAACTTCTAAAATGTGGTTCATTATAATTTATAAATGGGGTTTCTAGTGCAGATTTTTTTCAACAAAAATACAAAATCATTAAAATGAATAAACTTTTCAGGAGTATGTTTTAAGTTATATGTTTCACATGTCTTTCTGGTCTAGTGCATATAAATTCTAGCCTTTATTTGGAAAGAAAAATTGTCAGAAAATTAAGCAAGAAATGTTGGCTTCCTGTAATACCGTAATGAATAAAGGCAATTGACAGCTTTTCATGGTTCTCAGTAATTATGAATGGAACTGAGAGTGTAAAAATTACTATCATTTGTGGTTACCAAAAATGCCCTTGAAATATCTGGTCTAATATATAATTTTGAAGTATGCAATATACAGTCATAATCAAATTATTGTTATTAATGACAATTAAATAGAGAACCAGGACACTGAAAACACCACAAACTTGCTGAATATGATTGAGTATCATCCCTTTAGGAGGACATAACCTTTTAAAATGTCTGTTTACGGCTCTCAAACCACCTATGTATTCACTAGATGCAAATGTTCAGTAATATCTCCTCTACAAAATTTCGTTTTACAATGACACCAGGTTTCTTTCAGAAAGGACTGTGTAGGAAAGTTTTCTTTTTCCATTTATGAGTTCAAGTATGTTAAGACTTTTTAAATTGTTGACCAGCCCTAAAAAACATTAACATTTCATAAATCGCTCTTGCATTGTAAAAAGAAGGAGGGAGGTAGAAGAAAAATGCCAAAGGATTGTAGGTCAGCTTATTTCATAAACAAAAGCTCTAAGGAAAGTCCTGAGATTTTTAAGTAAGCCAGGCCTTCTGAATGGGACATGATATGGACAGTAGAATAAGACAGATTGAGTTCCATTGACATTATTTATTCTTTGTATGATCTTAGGTTATCTACACACACTTTCAAAATTTAACTTTCTTGGTCTGTAAAATTGAGGAAATAATAATAGCTGTCCCATAGGGCACACTATCAATCCCAATATGCTTTGTTAGTCCATTCATTTTTCCAGTGCTTAATCAAAGAAGCTTTAATGGCCTATATACTTATATTATTGATATATTCACGCACCTGTCCCAACTTGCTGTCCTTTCCAATATCACTTTGTTTTTATCACACTCCTTAATATCACTTCTTTGTTAGGTCTTGATCACATGCTTAAATCATTTTTAATGTTTGCTAAACTCTGTATGAGAGATTGAAGAATTACGAGACAGGAACATCAATGTGAAAGGGTAAAATATGTGGAGAATATATAAGGTGCCAGCATATGACAAAACCCTAAAGATGTACGATGGTCACAAGCCATGGAAGAAGATAGGACAACTGAATTGTCAACCTTGCCGCCTCCTCCGTAGCCTCCTAAATCTTATCTTCCTTTTGTCTAATTTATGAAAAATGTTTCCTATAATTGTCTCCCAAAAGCAGAGTTGTCCCCATGCTGTAATATACATTGACCACTCAGATTCATTTAAAAAATACATCTTGCTTTTATTCCCAATATAACCACATTTCAGAAGTTAGATCATAGCCAGTTAGATTACACAGAGCGTGCGCACGCGCACGCGCACACACAAACACACCTTGAAAAAACTGTAGATCACTTGATTTCTGGAAGTTTTTCTCAATACCTCAGTGCACCTGATCACAACATCTTGTAATCTGGGCAGAAGGTAAGGGAGGTGATGTTAGGCGTACAAACTTAATATTGGGGATGCATTTTCTACCTAGAAATGGTCCTACATTCTACCAGAATGGGTTAAAAACAGATGCGCGCGCGCACACACACACACACACACACACAGAATTAAATGCACTACATTTGCTGTATTGCCTGCTAAAGGCATAAATATACTGGAGTGGAGATAAAGAAGGGGATGGATGGGAAAGAGTTCAGTACTTAGTGTAAACCTGAAAGGAAATGAGGCAGTGCAAGGGGAGAGAGGATCAGGGGAAAATAAATTATGTAGGCAACAGAACCATGCATCAAAAGTCTTTTCGATTTCTAAACTGGCAAATTTTCTCCAGGGGACCATCAGTCAAATGATGTCAAATTGAGCTGATTCTCTTGTAATGCCTGTATTGTGTAGGGCCTTCCTTGTAGGAACACAAGTTCCACTCTCGGACACAGTCGCAGTGCTTGCATTATCTTACAGAATTGATTGCTGCAAATGGTTCCTGGGAGGTGTGACCTGCTTAAAGGAAAGAAGCTAGGTTTCTTTTCTTGTTACTGAGGAATGAAGACACTTGTCAGGATGTGAATTGTGTGGGTGAGAAGGAAAAGCGGCGAAAGAATCTGGTAATTCCTTCCCTTACAGGAGGAAGAGAAAAAAGATAACATCGGAACCTTGGAGAGGAGAAATACAGTGCATTTATTTCCAGCATCCCCGCAGTCACTTCACGTCTCTTCAGACTTCCCCTATTCTTTAGTCTTGACCTGCCTATGCACTTGAACTCCACATAAGCACTAGGATGGACTGGGGGAAAAGGCCAGGTCAGCACGGTGGGATACTGCTTCCCCTAAAATGAAAACTCAGCAGCGGGCCAGCAGTGGGTGTGCGCGCGTCGATGCCAGAGGATGCGTGCGTGGAATCCGGCGGACGCAGTGGGCCGGGCACCGCCCTCCAAGCCGCCCCGCCCAGCCCACCACACTCCTCCTTGTATAAAGGCCGCGCTTGGGCCCGCCCTCCTCACAGCCCCGGAGCGCGGCCTGCCGGGGAGGTGGATCTCGCGCTCCCCACACAGTCACACTCCGCGCACTCACACACTTGGAAGCGCCTCCCCACGTCCCTCCCCTGCCCTCCTCTTGCTCTGCTCTTCTCTCCCTCACCACAAATAGTCGCCGACCTACTGCCAATCCGCCTCTCCTCTCTCTCTCTCTCTGTCTCAACATGACTGACTGGGAAGCGGTGGCTCGGGCAGAGCAGCTCCGCTGGCGCAGGCAGGAGGAGCAGGAGGATTATTAAATAACGCAGCTGGACTCTGTGCAACTGGGAGTGGAGAGGAGCCCAACAGCCGAGAAGGGGAGGGAGGGCAGAGGAGGGGGACCAGGAAGGACACCCCCGTGCCCCGAAGACATAAATCCCTGAGTGCCCGGGAGGAGCCTTAACAAGCGCACGGAGCCCTCAAGGTAGTAACGCCCCTGGTGCCTCAGCGCTCAGCGGGTCGCGCGTCGCGTCGCCGCTTTGCGGGGCCGGCCGCAGGCGGACGCGGGGATGACCGCTCGGCAGGTGACCGCGCCGTGTCGGGGCCGCCTGCGAGCAGCGCGCGCCCAGGCCCGGCGTGCTCGGCGCAGAGACCTGGCCTTGCGGGCGGGGTGGGAAGGAGGCGGGCGGGCTCGCTCACCACCGGCCCGCGACTCCCAGTGCGCCGCGTGGCCATTTCCTCCACGCTGCTGCGTGGTTTGCTGCCTGCGGCCGCGGCGGCCGCTCCAGGGCGATGCGGAGCGCTGGCCAAGGCGGCGAGAGTTGGCGCAGGCTTCGGGTCGCTCCCCTTCCTCGCCACTCGCGTCCCGCAGGTAGAGGCGACCGGTCAGCGCTGGCGCCCCGGGCTGCGGGTGCTGAGGCGGGGACGGCGGCGAAGAGGGGGAAGGGGAGGAGGGGGCGGGGAGCCAGGGGCTCCCGGAGGAACCGCAGTGCGGGGCCGGGACCACCTCTTGCCTCCGCCTGCTTGTCCTCTGGCGCCAGTTTCCTGGATTGGAAGCAAGACCCTGCCCAGAGGCAGCAGTAACGGCAGCGACTTAGATTGAACCACTTGCTTTGTGGTGGAGCGTCAAGGGCCCCAGGTTGTGTGCGTGTGTGTGTGTGTGTGTGTGTGCGCGCGCGCGCGCGCTCTGGACTAACCAGTGGGTTGGTTCACCTGAGCAGAAAGTCAGCCGTAAGCTGAAACCGCATGTGGCCCCCTGGCCCCTTCGACTTTTGGCTTGTGTCCCAGGGACTCGTACACACGGTGCCAGCAAGGGGTAAGGGTGACGGAGGGATTTGTGAATGGTGCTTCTGCGTGCGTGGAGGCTGAGCCTTGCTGATGTAAAGGAGGAGGTATCCAGAGTGAGAAGAAAGGCTATTTATGGCAAAGAGTTGTGAAATTTCTTGGGGTTTCCTTTTAGTGTATCCTGAACTGCTCTCTTTCTCTCTCTCTCTCTCTCCTCTCCCTGCCTCAGAATTAGAAGCAATTATGCTTCCCCTTCCTCTCGTGGGACATGGAATATGAAATGAAGTAAAAAAAAAACTCATATTTTTACAGGTAGAAAAAAATACTTCTTAGAAGTTACAGATTCTTTGCCCTTTAATGTTTTTATGTCCTCTTCTCCACCCCTCTTACCTTTTCAGGCAGTCAGTAGGACTTACAAGTCAGAAAATACCTACTTGGTTTCAACAGCTTTCATTTCTGAAATCTTTACAGTTGAATACCTTCCTATTGAAATGTAACACACATCCTCCCTTCTCTGCCCCTCAAGGACTATTAAAAATAATGTGTACACGTTTAAAGTAAAGCTGGTTTTATTAACAGCCTTAGGGAAAACGGATAAGAGGACACCTAGGTGGGGGTCAGTTATCACTGGTTCCTTCAAAACTGGTTATTAAGGGAAGACCTAAAATACTGGTAATCTAGGCTATAATATAATTTGTCTTGGTTTCTCTTTCTGTTTGCTTTATAACAGGTACATGTTCCAGATACGTAACTTGAAACTTAAAGATGCCTTGGGACAGTGCCTGTCACGGTGCTTATAAAATGAATGTTTTCTCTTAAAAGTAGCAACCTGTACTTTTATAGAACTGTGACTGGGTTTAGTAGTAGGACAGTATCCTTAATATTGCAAACTGAAATGTCTCTAAAAGCCTGCCAAGACAATGTTTTTCAAATATTGAAATTCCATGTTGTAACCACACTTTCAATAGTTTCACAGAGAAAAAAGAGAAGTTGGTCAACCTATTGTCAGAGTGATTTGTCTTCATTTAAATTAATTAGTTATTTTGATCAAAACAAACCAACTGTTGTTTGTATTGTTTTATTGCTTTCCTAAACAGTCCTGTTCTTTGAAAAACAAAGCAGAGTTAAGGATTTGATATTTTGATTTTGTTAGATTTATATTACTTTGAAATACATTTTCAACACGGAAGCATGTGCAGCTTTAAATATTAGGTTAGAACTCAGATGGAGAACCCCATTCGGAGGGTTATTACCTCAACTATCCCAAACTATTTGAACATAGATATAATAGGGAATTAAAAAATGTAATTGATGAACTGTATTATTGCAATCATTAAAAGTCCTATTTATGAGTATTTTGTTTTTTGACAGTTAAGAGAATCAGCAACTGTTTATTATTTTAAAGATACATTATTTATACCATAGAATGTTAATTTAGATAAAACAAAGTAGAAAATGAAAAATTTGTTATATTTTTACAGTAATAGTTATTCAACCCTTTATTGCATTTTATTACTCATCATAATGCTCATAATAAAGGGCCTAACGTTTGCAAAGTACTACTGTCTAGGCATTGGGGAGGAACGGGAGATTCCTTGTTCCCTGTCTTTCAGGAACTTACTTGCCATGTGGGAGGAATCTGATGCTCATGCTTGAGCGTAGAGTTAACAACCCGTAACAATAAGAGATTACATGTCTAATGAGTACTACAGGAGTTCAGAACATGACAATAACATTTCATACTGGATTTTGTTTGAGAATGCTTCGGGGGTGGGTAAGACTTGCTTGATCTTGATGTTAAAGGATAAGCAGGATTAGTACATTGTGGATAAGAAAAATATAAGGTATAAGATGCAAGTCTCCTGGAATAATAGAAAAGAACATATAAGGGAAGATAAGTTTGTTTTGATATAAATTAAGATATTGCTGGATATTTTGCAGAGTGCAGGTTGAGTCTGTTTTGGATGTACATCCTTCTACACATTCTATTCTTTTTTTTTGTTTGTTTCTGAGATGGATTTTTGCTCTGTCACCCAGGCTGGATTTCAGTGGCGCTACCTCGGCTCACTGCAACCTCAGCCTCTCGGGTTCAAGTGATTCTCCTGCCTCAGCCTCCGGAGTAGTTGGGACTACAGGCGCATGCCACCCCGCCCAGCTAAATTTTGAATTTCTAGTAGAGATGGGGTTTTGCTATGTTGGCTAGGCTGGTCTCAAACTCCTGACCTCATGATCAACCCGCCTCGGCCTCCTGTGCTGGGATTACAGGCGTGACCCACTGCGCCCTGCCCACATTCTATTCTTGAATTTAATTGTTAATATTTACACATTTAAGAAGACAAATCTTTAGCTTTATGTTGTCTTTTTGTTTGTTAGTTTGTTTTTTGAGATGGAGTTTCGTTCTTGTCGCCCAGGCTGGAGTGCAGTGGCGCAATCTCGGCTCACTGCAACCTCCGCCTCCTGGGTTCAAGTGATTCTCCTCCCTCAGCTCCCTGAGTAGCTGGGATTACAGGCACGCGCCACCACACCCAGCTAATTTTTGTATTTACTTTAGTAGAGATGGGGTTTCACCATGTTGGCCAGGCTGGTCTCGAACTCCGGACCTCAGTTGATCCACTCTCCTCGGCCTCCCGAAGTGCTGGGGTAACAGGCGTGAGCTACCACGCCTGGCTTATATTGCCTTTTAATAGACAATATGTACTTGTATTACTACAGTAGTGCAATAGAGTTCTTGTAGAGAATATGTACTTTAAATATTTAAATGTATCCACATCTCACTAATGTGTTGAGTAAAAGTGGCACACCTCTTTATAGTGAGGTGTTTTCGGTATTTCCCTAAGCAAATCTTTTTAGGTTTGCTCTAAAGAAGTGTGATGATGTGTAAAAGAATAACAGTATTAATAGTGAGCATCTATTGAATACTCAACATTTTATTCTTCATATAAAATGTGTTGTCTATTAATATATTTCATATAATAGTTTATTTTAAACTTCTTAGATTTATTGAATCTATTAGATTAGATTTTATTTAAAGTTATTGTATGCAGCCACATAATAGTTAATCTATCCATATATTATTTGCCATAAATATAGAGCTATGATACGGAGCCTATAGTGAAAATTTTAGAATTTTAGCAACAATTTTATGGCTATTTTAACTATCTTCTGATAAATAAATTGTATTAACAATAACACCATGACCTGTCTCTAAACTTAGTTGTTTTTTTCTTTGTGTATATAGGTTGATTTTAGACAAACTGCTTAAAATGCATTTCTTCATTTCAAGAATAAAAGGGAAACATCTGAGTTGACTTTGAGCCTGTACATTCAATATGACACCCCAGAAGTATGTTTTGGTGACAGTAAAGAAATTGCACAAATATTAGACATGACTTTCAATAAATAACCAAATGGAATTACTTTCAGATTAGTTGAATTAAAATATTTTCATATATATATTTTGTTGACAGTGAATAGATAAGAGTTATTACAAAAGTGAAAGCCTATTTAATCACCAATTTTATATTCATGCAAGAATGGAATGATTCCCCATGTAGTTAGGGTACAAACTAGCCTATCTGTTAATTGGTACCTTTTGAATTTGGTTTTGGACTATATGTCACAGGTGTATCATTTCGATAATGTAATCTCGTCCACTGTATGACTGACAGCTTCTGCATGATTTCCCTATTGGACAGTGACAAAATCTGTTTGCTTTATAGTGAGTACATACACTTCTATCAGCAATATTATCTTCCCTGTGCAAGAGTGTCAGTTAACAATAAAACATGAAGTCTGGGGTGGGAGAAGCAGTGAAAAAAGATGGGGAGATTGAGGAGAAAACACTGTAACAAAAGAAACATGTTTTACTATGAAGCTTAAACTGAATATTAAAATATAAAGCTGACTATTCTAAACTGCAGTACATTACCAAGATATTGTTATCAGTCTACTTTAAACAACCATATTGTATTTTAAGTTGTTTCCATGCAGCCTAAATTTTTTTAAAAGGTGTTTGTTGGAAATATTTACTGAGGTGTTTGATATATTACAAATTGTTAAAAGATTTCTGCTCAGATCATTAACTAATGAAGTTATTTGCCAAATTCCTGGCCCTATACCTGGAATAACTTAAAGCACGGCTTTTGGTTTTGCATCATTTACACTGCACTAACTCTTTTCAAATATTAATTAAAGTTAAACTTGATTAAAAGTTTTGAATTTTTAAACTGTGCTTTGATACTAAATACAGTCCAAAGGACTTTTATAAAGAAACAGTTTATTATCTAGTGACAATTCTTAACCTAGAGTAGTGGTTTTCAAAATGTGGTGTCCTAAGCAGCAATAGCAGCAAGTATAAACTTGTTAAAATGCCATATCTGGAGCCCCACCACAGACTGATTGATTCAGAAGCTCTGGGGTGGGGTTCTCTGTGTGATTCTTATGCACTCTAGAATTTGAAAGCCACTGACCTAGAGTATTTTAGAGTAAAAACTGAAGGCTATGTCTTTCTTCTGTTTTATAAATAAATACTTCCCTCAGCTGGTAGTAAACTAAGGTTCAGATATTCAGTTTTGGAAAATATTCCATTGTCCATCAAAAGTTTTTCATCTTAACTATGTTTTCTGACCAAATTTTTAATGAGTTCCCATTGCTTGTGCAAGAATTTGCTGTTGATTGGGGAGGGAATACATGAAAATTTAACTGGATAGTAATGACTGTAGGCTGGACCTTATTGGTAGGTAGTTATAATGCAAAGGGTATGCACAATACAAAAGTTGACCAATTTCTGTTTAGTTTTGTTGACTCTCCTGTGATATTTTTGGTTTTGGCATATAGTAAGCACCTTTCTTTGGATAAGATTATAGCTGTTT